>NC_000005.10:161518899-161821930 GCF_000001405.40 Homo sapiens | reverse complement strand
GAACATTTTTTTAAGTATATCTGCCTCCCATTAAGGAAGTACCAGGGATGTCTTTCTGAGGAAGATGACAATAACTGAGGTTTTAAGATTGAAAAGAAGCTTGTCAGACCAAAAATTTTAAAAATGAAAATTCTCAAAAGATACTAAACATGGGAAAAATAATAGAATGTGATAAATATATTCACTACTGCCTCAGTACAGTGTGTGTGTGTGTGTGTGCATGTGTATGTGTGTGTGCACACGAGAGAGAGAGAAAGAGAGAAAGAGGGATGAGTAGGGATTGCTGATAAAGTTGAGAATGGAGAAGACTATGGGGATCGGATCATGAGGAACTTCAAGTGTTTGAATTTCATCCTAGAAAATAACAGAAAATGGAGAGCTGGTGGGGAATTTTGGATGGAAGAATGACATGGTCATAAAAAAGAAAATGAAAGAAAACGACTGTTAGCAACTGCATAGTACAGAGAATAAAATGCTTTTGGATAATAGGAAATTTATAGGTTGTTGTTATGCACTGACTATTTTGCATACAAAATTATATTTGGTTTATAGTTGCTATCAATAGGGTAGGATCCCATTTTGTGTGAGATCATTTTTGCTACTTCAGAGGGCAGGCAGCTGAACAGTGATGGAGGGAGTCAATACCTTCTACTGTTCATAGGTTTGGGATGCTATCATCTGGATGGAAACTTCACTGTCACTATGTTTCTGGACCTGTGCAAAATAATCTCTTCTCCCATTTGACACATTCCTCAAAGGCAGCATATAGGGTGTGAAGGTGTATGTGTGTGCATGCATTTATTTTACTTATATTTTGTCCATTCCTAGTCCATTCTCTGCATAGCAGCCAAAGTGACTTTGCAAAAACTCAAATCAGATTATGTTGTTCTACTTACAATCTCCAGTAAATCTCTATTGCATGTAGAATAAAATTTGAATTTATTTGCAAGACCTGCAGGGCTATGTACAATCTATACATTGCCTACTTCTCCAATCTCATTTCAAACCCCCCTTTGTCACTCACTAATTTCCAAGCATGTTGGTCTTTTGTCAGTTTCTAGAAAAACCTGTGCTCTCCACTGACATATGGGCCTTTGAACTTACTGATTCTTCTATAACAAAATATCCTTCCCATTAGCAGTGTAGCTCTTTTATATACTTCACACAATAGACTTACTGTCACTAAATTCAGAAAAACATCCCATATGGTTTAACCTAATACCACATTGTGTTGCTCTCCATGACAACAGTGATACTAACTGTTGAAGCAAGGTGGAAACAGTTGGCACAATGGGATGCCCACAGGGTTTGGACTCAAATCTGTAGCGCAAATTCCAGTTGTACAACACACAAGCTGTGAATGCTTGGATAAATTTCTTAAATCTCTTAGCCTCATTCATTCTATTTTACATTCTCAGATGAATTCATTCATTCAAGCACTATCCTAGACACTGGGGATTAAACGGTGAACGAGACAGACAATTCCCCTGCATGTAAGACACTTCTATTAATGTTGAGGGATGCAGATTATCAATGTACACTACAGTTTCAAGGAGTGATGAGTGATATGACTAGGATGAAACTTCTTTTCCATAGTTTGATCAAGAGAGATCTTTCTTAGAAAATGGGACATTAACAAAGTGAAAAATAATATTTTCCACTTTATGCTATGGTTCAAGCTGAAATTAGTGACAGAGAGAACATCAAAAAGTATCAGCCTAGGAATAATATTGCCATGATCAAAGATTAACATTTGTAGCCACTATACCTATTTTACATGGTTGCTGTTCTGGGAAGTAAGTGAGGTGTAGGGCGTGGTGCAGCATAGTGCAAGAAGCCTTATCAGTACTCGATAAATGTTTCCTTCCCTACTGTTCCCATCTTCTATCCTACTGTGGGACATTAATGAGAACTGGGAAATACATAAAATCACAATGATGGTGACCAGTATTTTTACTTTTTGCCATCTCATATTCTCTCACATTCTGTCTCTGTGCATATAAATGCGGCAAATTATATGTCTCACCGAAATATAACATGCTAGGAAAAAGTTATTTCTTTACAAATTCTTGATCACATATCTCAATAGCATTATTGTAGGTATTTATAACAATTAGAATTTCCCAGTAATTAATGTAAAGCAAAACAGTACAAAGGGGATTTAATTTAGTTCAATCTTAGTGAGAGCCTCTGATTCATCATTTGATTTGATAGCAGGATTACCTTTGTTTAAATCACCTCATCTTTTGAGTCTTGGTTTCCTCACTTGTAAGACAGAAAAAGAATTTAAATTATAAAATTAACATAGTATGCTTACAATCTCCCAGTTATTGTGTTAAGCATGTTGCATGCGCTAATATATCTATTTCTCACAGCTGCCCTCTGGTACATTGGCACTATTATTGTTCTCATTGTACAGATGTGGACCCTGATGTGCAGAAACTTAAGTCAATTGCCCAAGGTCGCATTGCTGGTAAGTGTCAGAACCAATATTTGAAACCATTTTACATAATATATGAGTAAAAATTAAATGTTTGTTGTAAGCTGTTGCTATTTTGGAGTTGTTTGTTACCAAGACATATCTTCGTTTATTTTTTATTGGAGCTTTTAATATAATTATGCATCGTGACCTTAAAGAGGAAGCTACAATACAAACATTTCCCCAGTGTATTTTATTTAACATATTTAACGTAACAATTGCTATGTATAGGCAGTATTTTATAAACTTTACAAGTAATAACTTTAATTCTTCTGTCATTACTATCAGGTAAGTACTATTAATGTTTCCACATGACAGCTAAGGAAATGGAGGCACAGTGGATAAGCAACTTGTCCATGGTCACGTAGTTATTATGTGGCAGAACAAGGATTTTAAACTAGGGAACTTGAGTATGTACTCTTGACCCCCATGTTATAATGCCTTACTTGTACTCGGTAACATATTCCATAAGTCATGGACCAATTAATTTTAGGATTCATGCGACAATCTCTGAATGTTAGAAATATGGATCTCTTCAGCCGAGGAGCATCTCAGACAAAGTCACAGTCTCTGGAACACTATCATGAGTTATATAGATACCATTTAGACTCTCTATTTATTCTTTCCTTGAGTGAGGAGGATAGAGTATGTCTCTTATTATTCAAAATGAATCTTGACTATGACCTCCAGTCTGCCCAATGTATTGGGTGTTGTGTAGTCTAAACATTTAGACGACTAAAATTTTGAATGAAAGCTACTGATATTTTGTTGGACTACAAGTGCAGTTTTAACTCCTGTTTCTGAAATTATTCCATTAACATTCAATAAATTTGTATGGCATTAAGATACAGAAATCAAATTTACTTTTCCTAAGCTTTCCTACTTTGAAAGTTTAGCATTATTGGTTTGTTTTTAGAACATAATCTATTGGCAAATTTTGTGTATTAACAGTTTTACTATGACACACTGTGAATAGGAAAAATTTACATTATTGTGATTCTGACCAAATAATTCAAAACTTTATGCAATTTATGAAAGGTAAAGGAAAGGACCATATATTACTGTGCTTTAGCAGGACAAGACATTTATTTTAAAAATAGTCTTAATTCTGATTTTTCTCCCACAGGGTCGTTCTATAGTTTTCATATACTTGATGGGAAATTGATTTAGTATCATAGGATTGATGATAAAAAAGAAGCATTATTGGGATTCCATCTCATATTGCTTTCTACACCAAAACAAGTATATAAAAAACGGAAACATGTTTGCCCTCCATGAAACACCTTTCAATATCATTTCACATGGCTTTTCCTTAATGGGTATTTGTCAAATATCTCAGGAGAAAGAAGACTAAGTGTGACTCTGCAAGTGTGAACATATTTTTAAAAGTTTTAAACCACAAGGAACGATAGTTTCTCCAAAAATGATAATTACTGACTTTGCAGAAAAGCCAATGACAGTGGTATGGAACACTGTTAGTTAGACTCAGGGTTACTGACAGATTCAACTGTATCAGTTCTTTACTGTGAATCATATGAGCTTGCTCATCCCACTCTACCACCCCACTGCAAATATACTTGCTGCCCTTTCTGGTATTATGATAAATAATTTCTACAGATATCTAAGTGCTATTTCTATACTTAGGTGTGAAACCAACATCTTTAGATTGAGTTTGATTCTAGACCTAAGGGCATGAGTGCCATCTGCTGAATTATTGCTTACGCTTCCTATATCTCTCCTAGATTAAAATTTAGGAACTTTGAAACCTGGAATAATATCATAGGGTACTTCAGTATTCCATAAAACTCAAAGGTATGATAAATCACTGATATCTTTTCAGTTGTACCCTTAAGCTATTAAATGCCTTATTTAACAGTTGTTTCATTAAATTTTCAATTTTGTAGGGTATTTTTTACACAGTATTCTCAGACCATTTCTAAATAACTCTAAATTATATATAAGTAAACAATATGCCAAGGAATCTTGTAAGAAATCACACGTTTTAATTTTGTTGTTGTTTTGCCTGTTTTTAAGTCATGGTTGCTTTTTCAAATGATAGATACAACATACACTCAAAACCAAAAACAGTGAAAAGTTTACAATCCTAAAATATGGGAGGAAAATGTAATGATAATCTCACTTTTCAACTATGTCTGACATTAATATTTTCTGACTATCTTTAATTTTATTTTCAATAGAAAAATAAATAACTATCCACACAAAAAATCTCTTTTCCTTTTCATAAATGCTTTAAAATAATGAGCCCTTTTGGAAATACAGAACTGGTTTAGTAAACAAGTAATCTGGCTCTAAAGTTAACTCAATATCTCATAAACTAGATGAAATTATATTTGGGATTTGTAGCAATTTGACAATATATTTTATTTAACTAATATTTTTATGTCTCTGAATTTTGAGCACACTATTAGAACTGCAGTCTTTCAAATATGTTAGTTACTATCATTTGAATGACAGATTCATAATTTTTCAAGTGTATGAATTTATTTGATTAAAAAGTGTTTCCATTTAATTTTTCTTTCAAATAGTATTTTCAATTCAATTTCATAGATAAAGTCCAACCTCATGCCAAGGCAGATACAAATTATTGGGTATAAAACATTGTCTTCTTTTCTGTAAGCCTGTAATATTGTAGATGAGGCCAGATATATGTAGACAAAGCAGTAAAATAATATGAATTGCTTAGATTCAGTGAAAAAATAAATAAGCAAAACACAAACCTGGTTGCTCCCTTTATCTGCAGCATTACCTGCTGTGTATTGCTGAGAGTAGGAATGAAAATTTTCTTGTATGGAGTCAGTGATAATCTCAAAAGAAAAGCCATTATTCACATAATTTGTAATTCTATGGCTCCGTATGTCACACTTGATTCCTACGTGGAAAGAAATTAGGAAAAGAAAATGTAATCTTGCAATACAGATGTTGGTTACTATTAAGGATCTGAAGCTGGATTTAAGACAAGTGGATGAGGCTGGGCGCAGTGGCTCACGCCTGTAATCCCAGCACTTTGGGAGGCCGAGGTGGGCAAATCACGAGGTCAGGAGATTGAGACCATCCTGGCTAACAAGGTGAAAACCCGTCTCTACTAAAAATACAAAAAAAAAAAAAAAAAAAAAAGCTGGGCATGGTGGCACGTGCCTGTAGTCCCAGATACTTGGGAGGCTGAGGCAGGGGAATTGCTTGAACTCGGGAGGCGGAGGTTGCAGTGAGCCTAGATCGCACCACTGCACTCAAGCGTGGGCAACAGAGGGAGACTCCGGCTCAAAAACAAAAAGACAAGCAGATGAAAATGAAGGAAGGATGCAGGTACATTACAGTTAAGAACCCACTTAAATGTACACCACTGCATATTCTGGGCCTACTGTCAGTGTAGGTGCTCAAAAATGTCTGCTGAATGAGTTAATGAGTGACGTTTATAATTTATTCGAACACTAAAAAAAATGGATATATAACATTCATGTATATTATTTGTATTGAGCTGATGAAATTTTACCCTAAATGTCTGTGCCTAGAGAACATGAGTTCTCAGTGCCTACAGACATAGCTAAAGGTCAACCCAAGAGTCAATGACTATTTATCTGAAGGTCTCAGAACTTGGATTTTTTTTTTATGTGAAAAGATGACTTAAATGCTGTTTCATACTATGGATTTTTTTTCCAGTTTTAAATAAAAAGTTTTAAACGAAATAATTTTTCCCAAGAAAGCCACCATGTGGGGAGGAAGCGGGTGGGATGAATTCAGAAACTGAACCAAATTGAAGCCTCCTAATAAATGTGCTAATATTTCCTGAGGAAAACCTTTCCAGCTCTAATTCTTTTTGTCACAGTAGACTTAAAGGATTTTTTTAAATTTAAAATTTATTATTACAATCTCTAAATAACTCAAATAATCCCCTTTGTTATTGCTACCACATGCTATTTCTGCTATGGTTAAATTATTTTTTAAGCATGAGAAGAAAAAAATACAAAATTATAATGTTAAGTTCATATAGTTAAGAAAAACTGCATAAAAATTTCTTTTTAATAATTTTTCCCTGAAGTGGATTTTTAAATATTATTTTATCTAAAAGTTTTTCATACTACATACACTTCACCTTGCAAGTTCCTTATGTTTGACCAAGATCATGTTAGTAATCAAGAGCTTCCTTTAAAAAAGATGACTTTTGTTGAAAAAAAGGAAAGCTAAATTCTGAATTGAAAATAATATCTAATAGTAAATAGTTGCTAACAAATGATGTCAGAATTCTGTACTGCATTTAACTATTCCTATAACTTAGGGAATGGCACTTCCTCCCTCTGAACTTCAGTTTCCTGATCAGTAATTTTATTGAACTAGAAATGATCTATAAAATATTTTCTATCTTTTACGTCCAGTAGCCCTAACAGTTTACTTAAACCGAATAACCTTCCTGACTTTAAATCGCATTACATCAATTTTAGCTCTTGCCACCCTTTCCCACCCTCCAAACTTTAAGTCAGAATTAATTACTCCCACAGCACACTGATAACACCTCTCTAATAGCACTTATGGTCTCCTGCCTTATTTAGCAAGTTGTTTGCATCACAGCAGCTACTTGTGACCACAGAGACTGTGTACTATAGGCACAGTTTCATGAATTACCATGGAGAGAGCAACTGTATGAAAGATCCCTGTGGGAAGCTGGCTAAGTACAGTCACACACAGCCTGGATTTTCAAGTGGTTTTCTACCATAGACTGTAAGTTGCTGGAGGATAAAAAGACTCTTCTGTTTATCTTGAAGATAACACAAAGACTAGCAAAATGTTTTTTGCATAGTGGGCTTTCACTCAATATGTACATACGTACATGATGATTAATAAATGAGTGATAAGTGAAATGCATAATCTTTTATTTGGCAATTAATTCCTACTCAGATTTAAAGTGGCTAACAAACTCATGCATCAGGTTTGATAGCTGAAATAGATAATGTGTTTTTGAAAACAAGTTTTATGAATTTGTGCCCTCTTCCAGTAAATGCATGCAGTTAAACACAGATGGGAGGGAGGGTGAGAAAGGAAAGAAAAAAGAAAATAAAAGAAAAAAAAAGAAAAGAAAAGAGAGAATGGGAAAGAAAGAAAGAAGGAAAGAAAGAAAGAAAGAGAAAGAAAGAAAGAAAAGAAAGAAAGAAAGAAAGTCATGAACTCTGAGACAGCAATGCTGTTGTTTTTCTCAGAATGTCATTTTTTGTTGTTTGATTTTCTCTTTCCTGTTTTAGATGTTTTTGGTGAAAGACTGACTGAAACTGGGTAATACTCTATTGTAATTTCCTTTGTATTCTCTTAAAGTGTAAAAAAATTCCTTTGTTACTGGAAAATATTTTGAAAGGAAGAATATCCTTTAAGCTAAAACATATCTTGCAAAAATGAAATTTTGAGACTTAGGGAGCTGATGCCCAAATCGATGATAAAGTATTCAGTTTAAAATTAATGCAGCCAACTTAATTTTAAAATAATTGCTTAAATCTGGGAATAGAATATTATAAGTATTCAGACAGGTATTCTGGGTTGTTGCTGCTATTAGAGTCCTTGATCATGGTAGTTTTCTAAAATCAATCTAAGCTGTATATAGCTGTATTTATCTATTGATAAAAAAAAATCTTGCACTAATAGCATTCACTCAACAAATGTGTATATTTTCCTACTATGTGTAAGGCAGTGCTCTAGGTGCTAGTTAGCACCAGTGAAACAGCAGCTCCAAATCTCTGCTCTCGTGGAGCTTTCATCCTAGTGGAAGGCAATCACACAAATGATATAAAAATTATATTCCACCTTGTAAAGTGTTAAGTGCTAGAAAGAAAAATAATGCCAGATGGGGGGATACAAAATGCAGATAATAAGATGAGGTTTTAAATAAAGTGATCACATCTAAGTCCCTCCTGAGAAGATGACATCTGAGCAACATCTTGACATAAGTGAGGAAGAAATTCCTGTGGGGGGCTCAGCGCAGTGGCTCATGCCTGTAGTTCCAGCACTTTGGGAGGCAGAGGCGGGCAGATAACTTGAAGTCTGGAATTCAAGATCAACCTGGCCAATGTGTCGAAACACAGTCTGTACCAAAAATACAAAAATTAGCCAGGCATGGTGGTGTGTGCCTGTAATCCCAGCTACTCGGGAGGCTGAGGCACGAGAATCACTTGAACCCGGGAGACAGAGGTTGCAGTGAGCCAAGATCGCCAGTGTACTGTATCAGCCTGAGTGACAGAGCAACACTCTGTCAAAAAAAAAAAAAAAGAAAGTTCCATTGAAGTTTGAGGGATGTTCCAGGTGGAAGGAACAGCATGGGCAATGTTCTAATACACATTGAGGAATGAGAGACTCAGATTCTTTCAAACAAGGAATTAAAAAAAAATTCTCAAGATTCTCACACGTTGCATAAATATGAATGAGGCATATGTCCTTCTATCTCCAAATTTTGTGTTGAAATGCCACAGGAACAGAGAACATTTACTTTCTAATTACACCCATCAGTTAAGCAACAAAGCTAGAATTAAGCCCACAGAACCTAGGTTAGAGACAAAGCCATGTAAATCTGAATAGGACCAAAAAGATTTTGGTTTTAAAACTCCCTCCATTCATATACATAAAATAAAATCTCACAGTATTTGACCTACGTAGAAACCAACCACAGACATCAAATTTGATTCCATATTTTTTTCTTGACACTGTTCCAAATGTAGTATCTCTGCTTGAAAAATAAAGCAGATTGTCATGATGTTATCCCTATAATACAAGCAAACAAAAAATCCATTAAGTCTGAGTTGTCAAGATAACTTAGCCAAGTCCTTGCCTTGGCAGGTGTTATGCTCTATAAAACGAACAAACGTAAGTTTTTGTTTGCTCCTGTATCTTCTCGTTATAACATCTGATAAAGAATGAACTATATATGTCTAATCCAGGTTAGTAAATATCCCTAAAGAGGCTCCAGGTTCCCGGATCACCCTGTTCTGTTAAGACGAAATTTAGAGCCTGCTTACAAGCTCTCAGGGAAACCCCCTTTCTTGGTAATTTTGGAATGCATCTCCCTCTCACTTTTCCCTTAGTCCCTTCAGACTCTGATTCTTCAGGTAAGCATTGAAATCTACCCCTTGAAAAGTCATTCACGATGAAATGATGAAGTGCTTCAAATAGTATATCTTCTAAGGATTTATATTTTTTAAAGAGGTCAAAGCTCAAAGTAGGAATTAAAATTTCTTGGATATTAGCGAACAGTTTCAGGAGAAGTTTGCAGGGTAGAGGCTTTGTTCTAGCCAGCTATGAGGCAAGCTAGCTTCACCACCTGACTATTATATTTTCTACCCTAGACTCTTAACAAAAGCCAACTCTCTGGACAAAAGCAACACAAATTCACATATTTACAGTTAGACAGAAGGAACAAGTTCAAGAAGTCTATTGTACGGCATGGTGACTATAGTTAATATCAGTATATTGTATTATTGAAAAATGCTAGGAGGATAGATGTGAAGTGTTCTCACCACAAAAGTGATTAACTGTGTGAGATAATACATATGCTAATTAGCTAGGTTTCATCATTCCACACTGTATATATACTTCAAAACATCATGTTGTTCATGTAACTACATACAATTTTATATGTCAATTTTAAAAATAAATGAATTTGAGGGGAAAAAAGCAACACAATTTATTTCCAAATCCCATGCTGTTTTGTTTCCCTTTTATCACAGACACCTAAAAAAAAAAGAATGAGGATATCAGAATCTCCTAGGAAAGACATGGATAAATATATTTGGACCAATCATATGATATAATATTATAAAAATATTTAAAATTAAACTTTACAATAACTTATGTTAGCAAGAGAAAATGTCCAAGATACAAGGATAAGTGAAGAACTGTGATATAATGTGGTATGTCTTTGTAAATACTTATGTATCTGGATATGAACAAATACATGGGAATATACCAACAGATACAAACAGATGCATAAAGGAAATAAAACAAAATGTTATCTCCAGCAGAGTAATTATGGGTAACTTTTTGGGGTAATTCTTTATACTCTTCATTTTCCAAAATTACATAGTTCACAATTTTAATTTTCCAATTAAAGACAAAGATCTTTTGAAATGACATGTTGTGTTATCCACATCATTGCTTTGCTTTTGCCCTCAACAGAGAACAAAATGTGTGGGTTAAATAGGAGCATCTCTTAAATGCATAAATCCCTCAAAGGGGAACAGGAAAATTTTACTATTACATAGTTTCTTTCCAGCCTCTATGACATCAGCCAGAGAGATGCTCAAGGAGTTGAGGTCAAGAAGCACGTGCTACTGTGCATAGATTCATCGCCAAGGGCATAATTCAAAGGACACTCAGCCTGGTGAACATGGCACACAGATGTCCTGTTTTCTTAGACTGTTTACAACATTTAAATGCACTTGGCAGTCTAAGCACATAGTTTCTTTCTGAAGGAGCTTTTCTGCTGAAGGTTATGTCGTGCTTTCCACTAAAACATAAATCCGTTGGCTGTTTGTTAAGCCTCCTGTACAATGAAATCAAAGCAATCGTCAATGGATATGGTTCACTGGAAAATGTAAACTGGCTTCCCCACCCCAAGAGAAATAGATTAAGCAAAGCTAGAGGTATTGCACGTGCTCTCTACAGACAACATCTCACTTTGTAGAGAAAAATTTTACTGCAATGCTTCCCATTGCACCTGCCAACTCCTTCTCTTATCCTGAAAACATAAATTCCCATTACACATGGAAGAATGAGTAATGTCTCTAAAGTGCCCAGAATATGTTTGTAATAATTGATATTTCACCCTCCGGTGCCAGGGCTGCATGGATGGAGTGCTTTATGTTGAAGGCTCAGGAATGTGCTTTTGTCCCTTTGGTATTCTGCCCAGACGAAGCATGCCCACAATCAGCACAGTCTAATGCAATCCAAACACTTAAGAGGAAGCATCCTACAAAACACAGGAGTGCCAGAGGCTTGCATAATGTATCCAAGATATCAAAATTTTCTTTAGAGAGATGAAAATATAATACAGCAAACACCTATTTAGGGGGAGAACAAAACCTTCAGTTTTTCTAAGGAAGTCAAGTATGTATTCATAGGGGTTGCCTGGCATGGAATTTAGACTAAAGCTTATCACACCTCTAAACTTCCTTTGCTTAAATCAATTATGAACATTTATTATTCTAAACTGCTTCTGCTTTTTACCCAAGCTATCTCCATGACTGTATTTTAAAACAGAAATAAGTTTGATTACTCATTTTTTAAATAAAATACTTCCATATAGCCTTTCCGTTATCTTTGGCAAAACAATTGTAAAATAGATATATTTTCATTTAGGTAGTTTTACCATGATTAATCATATCGCCTTCATGACAAAAGAGAATGAAGGAGAGATATGAAAGTAAAAATGAAAGAACGACTCTTAAATAAAATGAAGGCTGGTATGTTAAAAAATCAAGTGTTGGCCAGGCGCAGTGGCTCACACCTGTAATCCCAACACTTTGGGAGGCCAAGGTGGGTGAATCATGAGGTCAGGAGATCAGGTGCATCCTGGCTAACATGGTGAAACCCGTCTCTACTGAAAACACAAAAAATAGCCGGGCGTTGTGGCGGGTGCCTGTAGTACCAGCTACTCGGGAGGCTGAGGCGGGAGAATCGCTGGAACCCGGGAGGTGGAGCTTGCAGGGAGCCGAGATCGTGCCATTGCACTACAGTCTGGGCGACACAGCAAGACTCCGTTTCAAAAAGAAAGAAAGAAAGAAAGAAAGAAAGAAAGAAAGAAAGAAAGAAAGAAAGAAAGAAAAATCAAGTGTCTTTCAAATACTGGGAGTTTATTAGGGATTAATACTTTTATAATCACATGACTGTCTTCTATTATTTTATGAATCTAATTTTATTATTGTGAATAATTGTATTTAGTGATTTAACCTTTTCTTCGATATTCTTGACTTCAAAAAATAAAGTATACGCATTTAAGAACAGAAATTAATATCTACTTTTGGGTAACTATAAAAACGCACAGTTGATGACCAATTAGTTATTGTACATTATTTTTTAATTATTTGAAAAATAGCTAGCATTTTTCTACTACCTATGCTTTCTTATCTTATCTATTACTTCTTATCCTCACGCCTTCACACTAGAATAGTTTTGCCAAATCCGGGAATGAATAATTGATGGAAGCCATACTCTAATACAGCATCAATTGAAAATCAAAATGCCTATATTTCATCCTTTATAGGTATCTCCATTTGTTATGCTTGGAAAGTGAGAAAGCATTCAACTGGCAAAGGAAGTGAACAAAAACAAGATCAAGAATAAACATGACTTAATTAAAATCATAATGAGGTATCATCTTACCCCAGTCAGAATGTCTCTTATTAAAAAAAAAAAAATGAAAACAAAAACAGATGCTGGCGAGGATGCAGAGAATGGAGAAATCTTACACACCGTTGGCTGGAATGTAAAGCAGTACAACATTTATGGAAAACAGCATGAAGATTTCTCTAAGAACTAAAAGAACTACCCTTTGATCCAACAATCTACTAATGGGTATGTACCCAAAGGAAAATAAATCGTTGTATCAAAAATATACCTTTACACATATGTGTATTTCAGGCTATTCACAAGAGAAAAGTAATGCAATTAACCTATGTTTCCATAAACAAGAGATTGGATAAAGAAAATGTGACATATATATATATATATATGTATATATATATACACACACACACACACACACACACACACACACAATGAAATACTGTTCAGCCATAAAACAATAAAATCACATCTTCTACAGCAACATGAATGGAACTGGAAGTCATTATCTTAAGTGAAACAAATCATACACAGAAAGAGAATTACTGCAAGTTCTTACATAAGTGGGAACTAAATATTGTGTACACGTGAACGTAGAGAGTAGAATGTCAGGCAATGGATACTTGAAAGGATGAGGGGGTGGATGATGAGAAATTACGTTATTTGTACAATGTATGTTATTTGAGTGTTGAATACCCTAAAGGTTGTGACATTATCACTATGTGTCTATGCATTCAACAAAATTACACTGGTCCCTCATAAATTAACACAATATTTTTCAAAAGAAAAAAATACATATGACTTGTTATGTGTTTATTATGGTTCTTTCTCTCATAGTGAAACATATTTTATTTCTACCACCAAGAGTCTTTCCAGCTTTCTAACTGCAAGAACTTGCCTCCTCACAAGTGTTTTCAAATAGTGCCATGTAGAAGTAAAACTATTTGGGAATGGGGTGATTTATCTGAAACATAGTTGAAACCACTTTCTTGAATTCTACTTTCAAGATCAATCCCTACCCAGGTTCTAGTATTAATGCTGTCTCTGGTGAATGTTAGTACAGTATATCACACATGTCCCTCAACACCAACATGTCTCTGCTTCCAGCTCTCATCTCACCTAATACTTGTCCCATTCTCAATGAGTCTTCCCAGGCTACTTGTCTATGCCTGAGTAAATACTCAACTAATTTACCAATCAAGACATGTATGCCATGCTATGCAATCTAATTCTTCAATTTCTAGCCTCTGAGAGAGGGCATTGCCCAGTACACAATGCTAAACTGGGAACTAGAAAAATAGAGACGCGCTATCAGAGATAGGATGGGCATTAATTTGTAACCATGGAAGATGATTTGAAACACTATGGCTTACATTTTATACCAAAAAAGTGTCCCCTATGAGAGGCTGAATATTGCAATGGCAGAATTTGAGAACAAGTGTCAGATGATATTAGGACTGGTTTTATCCACCATGAATTTCAAGAATTAGATGCTTAATTATTAATATTTTCAAAACCACTATGAGATACCATCTCACACTAGTCAAAATGGCTATGATTAAAAAGTTAAAGAACAGCAGATGCTGGTGAGGCTGTGGAGAAAAGGGACACACTGTGGGTAGGAATGTAAATTAGTCCAGCCACTGTGGAAAGCAATTTGGAGATTTTTCAAAGAACTAAGAACAGAGCTACCATCCCACCCAGCAATCTCACTACTGGGTATATACTCAAAGCAAAGTAGATTATTATATTAAAGAGATATGTGCATTCATTTGTTCATTGCCAAGCTATTCACAATGGCAAACATATGGAATCAACCTAGGGGCCCATCAGTGGTGGACTGGATAAATAAAATGTGATACATATACTCCACAGAATACTATGCATCCACAAAGAGAGAATGAAATCATTTCCTTTGTAGCAACATGGATGGAGCTGGAGGACATAATCCTAAGACAACTAACAGAGGAACAGAAAAACAAATACTGCATGTTCTCACTCACAGTAGCACAACATTTAGCATGCACAGACATAAACATGAGAACAATAGACACTGTGGTCTATCAGAGGCATGAAGGGAGAGGGACAAGGGTAAAAAAACAACCTACTGGGTACTATGCTCACTACCTGAGTGCAGTATACCCAGGTAAAAAACAAAACAAACAAACCTGTATCCGCTTTATCTAAAATAAAAGTTGATAATAAAAAGATTTGGGGAAGGATATAAAATATCTTGACAAATAATTACCTTTTTGCATTTTGCACCATTGACCCTTATGAAATAGCAATGTTATTGACACTAGGCCAGCAGTGCAAACCACTATAGGAACTTCCATCCCGTAGAGTTCAACCAGAAGTCTGGTTTTTGCTTAAGTCTATATTTTATAAAATTTGATGCATAAAGCTAGTATTACGTGAAAAATTACTCCTTCTATAAGTAATTTAAAATTTTAATAGTATTTATTTTGAATTACTCTAACTACCATAACTGATGACAGCTTTGGGCTTTTACCTTCATTTATTTACTCTTTCATTCATTTTCTTTATTCACTGCACAAATATTGGTTAAGCACTTACATGTGTCAGATTTTTGCTAGTCACTGGTTACATAAAAATGACAAAGTAAGTGAAGTTTCTACTCTCAGAATCCTACCAGTCTAGTGGCAGAAACAGACATTAATCAAATAATCATAGAAAATATATGGTTGAAAATTTTTCTGAGTCATATGAATACTAATAATTAACATTTACTGAGGACTTGTTCTGTGCCAGAAACTGGTGGAAAAATTATCTTCCACGTAACTGGTGCCTGGTGCCGAAAAAGCTGGGGACTGCTGTTCTATAGCTTCTGCACTAGAATCTACTAATAAGTAAAATCTAATTTAACAACTAGTTTTAAAAACATAACAAGAATATGTGCTGGCTGGGTGCAGTGGTTCATGCCTGTATTCTCAGCACTTTGGGAGGCCGAGGGGGGCGGATCATTTGAGGTCAGGAGTTCAAGACTAGCCTGGCCAGTATGGTGAAACCCCATCTCTACTGAAAACACAAAAATTAGCCGGGCATGGTAGCACATGCCTGTCCTGTAGTCTCAGCTATTCAGGAGGCTGACGTGGGAGAACTGCTTGAACCCGGGAGGCAGAGGTTTCAGTGAGCCAAGATCGTGCCACTGCACTCCAGCCTGAGCAACAGAGTGACTCCATCTCAAAAACAAAACGAAACAAAAAGAATACGTGCTGACAAAAAAAATTCTGAAAGATAATAAAATTGTATTACTAGACTGTTCACATGATATTTTGTTTCCCATTAAATGTGTGACATACAAAGATATTTATTAAATGAAAATATTTTTGTATCTTAAAAAAAATACTTGAACAGTATTAACTCATTTAACCCTTACCATCATCCTATGAAAGTATTCTATAGTATTATACAATCTTACAAGTAAAGTCATTGAGGCTAGGGGAGATTGAATAATGTGGTCTAAGAATGCGAAGTACCAAGTGGCAGAGTGGACATTGACTACAGGAAGTTGAACTTTACAGCCTATCTAATAGTACCATGTCATCTTTCCTTGCATGTTAAAACAAAGCATGCTATGACACTGCATTAGTCAGCTTTCACTACAGTATGCTGAATTAACAAACATACTCAATATTTTAGTGGCTTATAATAATAAAGGCTTATTTATTTATTACTCATGTTAATGTCCTGTACAGGTCCAGCCGCAATTCCGCTCCATGTCTTTTTCTTGCTGGATCCAGGCTAAAAGAGCATCTCCTACCTTAGCTATCCCACCCTTAAAGGTTTATGTATATGACATCATCGCTTCCACTAGCATTTTATTGTACAAAGCAAGGCTCAAGGTAAAACTGGGCAACAATGGAGTAGGAAATATATTCCATCTATAGGAAAAGACACCACAGAGGTGTCCTACCCAAATGATCCCAAAAAGCAGGTCATATTTTAAGCAAATAAAACAGTATGCTTCAGAATGGACATATGAAAGGGGTCCCTGACCTGGCCTGGGAGTCAATGAAAGCCTGAGGTAGCACTGTCTCAGTAGAGTTTTCAGGGATGATGTTTAGTTAACTAAAAACTGTGTTCCACAGAAAACATACCATGTGGTAGAAACAGCAGGTACAAACGTCATGTGATACAAGTGAGCCTGGTCTTGGAGAATTGAAAGGAATCACCTGAAATAAAGACAGAGAAAGGGAGACTGTCCTGAGACAAATCTACAGAAGTCAGCAGGGGCAAGATTATTCAGACCCCTGTAGGCTTCCTTAAGAATTTGGATATTTTTCCTAATGGGGAGCCACTAAATTATTTTAAGCAAAGGGAGTATGGTAATCACGCCTTGGTAATTTTGGCTGTTTTCCAAAAAAAAAAAAAAAAAAATCATTCTAAGTAAGATTCTCTAACTTAGATATCTCCCCAACCTCCCAGATCTTAATAGTATTGTTTTAATGGTTTTGGAAGAGAAAATTTATTTATATTTTCTATTGAGTTACCCCTAGCAGAGTTCACTATCAGAACCACCCAAATACAGTGATTCAGAGCAGAGGCAGTAACTTTCTCCCTCTCTCTCACAAGGAACACTTTCTACCCTATCCTCTTTAGCTAAGGCTCAGGTTTCCCCAGTCACAGCAATCCTGTACTCCCCTCTCACCTTCCTGATGGGATTAAAAGAGAGCCAACAGCGACATGGCAAGTCTGTGCTGAGACCTTTTTCCCTAAATAGTAAGGAATGGAGCTCAGCAAGGTAAGAAGTTGTTGTAAAGAGTTGCAGCAATTTGGGATTGGGAATATGTGCAAATTACTCTAAGTGGAGAGTTCCATTTGGAAAAGGTGCAGGCAGCATCCACTTCAGATATTTTCAGCAGAAATAAATGCCACCACCTTTTTGTCATAGCTAACATCATTACACTCTGATGTAAACTCAGGTCTTCCTTTGGCATCCTATGTAGAATTGTGCCAACTCCAAAAAGGTGGACACCATATCCTAGCTAGGATTTCTGCCACTGATAATGTAGAGCAGTCTTCTCAATCGTTGCCTTCAACTTCCAGATGTTGGTCAATTAAGAGAAAACAAACAAACAAAAGAAAAAGCACCCACCATATGTTTCACTCGTCCGATACCTGGAAAAGCTATTAGTTTATACTTATATCTGCTGTGGAAAGTTGTATTTGTTAGGGTAATGCCGTTTACGTAAGTGCTAAACATCCAAATTCCAAACTACACTCCATATTAAGTGATCACAAGTGGTCCAGTGTGGCAGATCACCATCAAAATGGTCATTTGGAAACCATCATCATTTCAACTTTTGTGTCTATTATTCTCTGGAGTCCTCTCAGTCATCTACTAGAGGAGGAAAAGGCATGGAAGAATTCACAATGGAAGGATTTTATGGAGCAGGTATGGAAGGGGTGCATATCAGCTTTGGCTCACAATCCACATCCAATGAGCTACAACCCAGCCATATGGTCAAACCAAAATAATAGAACCACTGGGAAATACAGTATAACAGTGAGTACAGGAAATAGAAGAAACTGACTTGGAGAACAACAGCTAACCAGTGTTTACTATTTCATTGTCTCTATTAAATCTTAAAATTGAGGGATAAAATAGTAAATTTTATGTTGCATACACATTATCAAAATAAAAAAAATGTTGGTGGAATAGGAACTGTAGATACAATGAATTTCTGGATCATTAAAATTTACTAAAAAGGAACCTCTGGGTTGTCCCAGCTCTTATTGTTGAAAATGAAACTTAATTAGTCCATTTTCCTGACTTTTTCAGTACAACATGGTTTGTAATTTCTGGCATCCAGATTGATAGTTCAGCAGCTGATTAAAACTTTCACTCATCAAAGAAAGAAATAATCATTATCTAGTATTGAAATGGTGAAGATGTAAAATATTTAATTCTGAGAATTTTTAATAGATTATATGCTGAAACCTGGATAAAACCTGCAATTGTGTAACATAAGTAACGATGATTGCCAATATTTTAAAAATCGGAATTAGTTCTTTAATTATAATTGGATATTAAGCAATCATTTACTTGAGAATATTACAAATTTTAAGTGGTTAGATTCAATTAATCAAAATTTCAACTTTCCCACTTTCTTACCACAATATTGACAATCAACCCTAAATTGGATCTTCTCTGAACTATGATCCCAAATACTTTTCCTTGAGAATCACTTAAAGTTATACTAATTTTTAGTGGTTCATGGTTTTTCCCCAACATCTATGTATGTATGTATGAATGTATGTATAAATCTATGTATGTATGTATGTATCTATCTATCTGTCTATCTATCTATCTATCTATCTATCTATCTATCTATCTATCTATCTATCTATCATCTATCTATCATCTATCTATCATCTATCAATCAAGACAGGGTCTCACTCTGTTGCCCAGGTTGCAGTGCTAAGGCCCAATCTTGGCTTACTGCAGCTTTGACATCCTGGGTTCAGGCGATCCTCCCACTTCAGCCTCCTGAGTACCTGGGACTACAGGCATGCACCACCATGCCAGACTAATTTTTGTGTTTTTTGTAGAGACGGGGTTTCGCCATGTTTCCCAGGCGCATTCAAACTCCTGGGCTCAAGCAATCTACACACCATGGCCTTCCAAAACATTGGGAGTACAGGTATGAGCCACCATGCCCAGCCCATTTATTTCTTTTTCCAACAACTATTTACTAAGTACCTATTATGTTCAGGCACTATATCAGACAATGGGAAAACAGAGATAAACAAATGAGCAAACCCTTGACATTGTGAAGTTTATATTCTATAGGAGCAAATAATATTACACAAGAAAAAACACACAGTTAATTAACAAATGTAGAAGATTTGTTACAAAGAGCACAGCCTGGAGTAACGTTTTAGAATTAGGGAAACAGCCATGGTGTATGTGGTCAGTAGCAGTTAATTGTAAAAAGGAAAGTGGATTGAACAAAGCATTTTAGGCATGGCTGCTACAAATACTCTGGTAAGGAAAATGAGAACAATTGAAAAACATGATAAGGAAGAGAGAAAAGAGACATAGAATAATCCTGGGGAAGTAGGTATGGTCAAATTAAGCATGGGCTTAAAAAACTAAAGGATTTTAGACTTGTTCCTGAAAACAGTGTGGAGCAGGACATAAGTTATAATTTGGAAAAAATGACATTGGTTGTTCTTTATCTAATACACGGAAGGATATCAGCCAAGAAGCTGTTACTTTACAAAACTAAATGCTAAAATTTCACTAGCAAAGACGGAAAGGAGAAAAGGAAGGGGGTAGTAAATTTATGATTATAGAAAATAATATAGGAAGCAGATATAGAAAAGCAGAGGAAACATGTGAATGATTACAATATAAAGGTCTCTATGCCTGCTTCACCTCTCCTCTGTTTAATCCTTGATTGTTATCTTTTCTCCAGTGCTAATTTGCTTTTAGAAACCAGCTATTTGGCTTTTACCTTTTCATTTCTTCTCCTGTTCCCTGTTACAATACACATATGAATAACTCAGTTTTCCATGGATCTAAGGTCTCCAATCTAGTGCTCCCAAAAGTCACTTACTCAATTCACTTTATTATGTCCAGCATGTACCAGAAATTGTGCTAGGTTATGGAGATAAGTAATGAAAAAGATAGACAGGATTTCTCCACTCATAGATTTTATATTCTAATAGGTCTCCAAGAGGCATGCTGTACTAGGATAATTTTTATCCAATGGAGTGTTATGTTTTTCTACATTTTATTCTTGGCCACACTCATGGCATTTGAAATGTACAAAGTATACATGGATAAGATTCACCAAATGGGGCTGGCCACCGTGGCTCACACCTGTAATCTCAGCCCTTTGGGAGGCCGAGGCGGGCAGATCACAAGGTCAGGAGTTCAAGACCAGCCTGGCCAATATGGTGAAACCCCATCTCTAATAAAAATACAAAAATTAGCCAGGCATGGCAGCATGCACCTGTAGTCTCAGCTACCCGGGAGGCTGAGGTAGGAGAATTGCTTGAACCTGGGAGGTGGAGGTTGCGGTGAGCCAAGATCACGCCAGTGCACTCCAGCCTGGGCAAGACAGCAAGACTCTGTCTCAAAAAAAAAAAAAAAAAAAAAAAAGAAGAAGAAGAAAGAAAAAAGATTCACCAAATGCTTTGGGCATGTTGACTATGGTGGCAAGTTGCAGGGGTTTGTATATTTGAACAGGTAGGAAAGAAAATTCATTTTGTCAATCAGAAATGCCATATAAAACTACTAAATCTTAACTCTATGGAATTTTAAAAACATATAACTGCCATTTTGAATAAAAATTCACTCTCATATTGTCATCTTGGGTTAAAGCATTGAGTTGCCAGACTCATCTATTTCTCATCACTATTTATTTCCTCTATGTTCAAACTCTTCACCCTCAGAAGCATTCTCAATCTATATTTTCAGTCCACAATGAAGTTTCTTACATCTATTGTAGTCTTCATCCCATCATCAAATTCTTGAGACAGTAGCTGATATTTCCACTATCTAAATATCACTATTCTCTAGTTCATCTAGTACAATCTGGCTTATTCCTCCTCAAAAAGCTAATGTAAATGGTTCGGGTCAGCAATGGTCCATAATTACAAAGTCTACTGGGCAATTTTAGTCCTGATATTTTATTTTTATTTCTCCAAATGAGAAAAATTTGTCAATGCTGAGTATATTTTAAGCTGTCATGGTGGGGCATTGGAAAATTTTTTAATTAGCAATAATTGCACTTTGGATAAACTTCATTGGTTGTGACACTGCCCTGTGCAAAGTTTAGCTCTCATTTGTCTTGCTCTCTCTGCTGTGTTTGACAAAGTTGATCACTTCCTATCTTTGAGCTTCTGAAACACTAACTCTCTTCCTTAGTGACACTGCACTGATATTTTAGAAACAATGATTCTGTCCCTTTAATAGTTCCTTTGTCCTGTATAATTTTTAAGACATTTATTCTTGTCAGTGTTCCATTTCATATCTTATATTCTTTCCTTTTATACTCTCTCCAGTTGATATTTTTGAATATGATTTATATTCTATGTATTTGGTTTTGACTTTCAAATTTCTTATCTACTTTAATTTTTTATTTAAACATATGTACATATTTTGGGGGTACATGTAATAATTTAATATATTCATAGAACTCATAAGTATCAAATCAGTGTAATTTAGATATCTATTACCTTAAATATGCCTTTCTTTATGTTAGAAACACTCAAATTATTCTCTTCTACCTATTTCAAAATATGTGATAGATTATTGTAAACTATAGTCATCCTACTGATCTGTCAAACATTAGGTGATTTTCTTCTCAAATTGACTCTGAAATTTTTTTCACCAGTTTCAACTTCCCCACAAGCGTTCCAAATTTATACACACACCATATCTTTTGATCACTGAAAACTTAATAAAGTTCAAACTGCCCCCAGATGGCTCTGTATTATGTTCACAGATTCACCATCTACTAATAAACCCATTGAAAAAGACTCAGCTCTCCATTCTCTAGCATCCACATCTAATTGGTCGATAAGCATCATTGATTTTATCTCCTGAATATCGCCAAGTCTCTTCACTGCTTTCCAGGGACTCAGCGTTATCAGCACCTCTTCATCTTTCCCTAGATAGTTCCAACAACCTCTAATTTGCCTCTGCCTTCAGTGTCTTGTTCTTTCTCTCACAATAAATTCCAAGCTATTTGACATAGAGACACTTTACTATCTGGCCAAATCTATCTCTTTTTTCTCTTCTCCAGCCATGGGCTTACTCAGTTACTGTTTGCTTTCTAATAAGAGTTTCTGTATTAACACTTAGAGAAATGTCATTTTCTCTAGGAAGATGCTCTTGCTTGTCTCTAGTGGCAGTTACTCATTTCTTCCTTTCAACACCCATAGCTCTGTGTGTATTCTTCTTCTATGTGACTTTTTGCAATGCAATGGTTTTTTCCTATTTCCTACCTTGTAATTTGGAGGTGTGGAAAAACATTTTATTCATATTTGCATCCTCACTACCTTAGCACTGCCTAGGGTTAGCCTGCATATCTAATATTTGAGATTGAAAAATATAAACAAATTAATTAATTAATTAAAATTATTAGGATTGTATTGATGGTCTGGGGTCTAACACATTCCATGATACAAATTTTAAGACAATTTTGATTATGTAGTTAGCCTACATAAGTTACAAATTCTAAAAGTAAATTTGAAAGCAACTTCAAAATAATAAACATTCTCAATGAAGTCTAGACTTCAGTATTGCAAGCACTATCAATGCCTTCTTTTACTATTTAGAAATTCCTTCTTTGTACTTTATAGAAATAGTCTAGTTACTAGATAAGGTCATTAGCCTCATGCTAGGGATAATTACTGAAGATGAAATAACAGCATCTTTCACTTTTGCCAAAAGTAAATACAAACTTTTATAAAAGCAATTTGACAATATATTTTGATGGTCTTTAAAAAGTTCATGAAAGTTTATTCAAAAATTTATTTCTAGGAATCTATACTAAGAATCTAATGAGAGTGCATAGAAATATTAAGGTAAAATGATATTTACTACTTTGTTATTGTGTCTACAAGTCTGATGGTAGGAGATTTGCAGGTAAGTATATAAAGATGGGATGCATTCATAAGACAGACCATTATACAGTCATTTAAACTGATGTTTTCTGAGGGAGTAAGTAATATACATAAGCAACCAGAAAAAGAGAGATCTATAAAAATAAGTAAAGTGTGAACCTACATCTCTTTTTAAAAATTTTATATGCTGTTGGAATTATATAAATAAAATCAGACTGGAAGAAAATATACAAGTACATATAATGAAATATAGAGATAAACATATATTGATTTTATAATTTGAAAAAATAGCCAATAAGGAAGTGTTTGCACCGTATCTATTTTGTGCCTGTTCACTTTCCCACGAACTCTTCAGAAAGGCTGTCAGTTTACAACCCTGCTGAAAGGTTAGTATGTTACATGACTCTGAGCCATACATTGCCCTAGATGTAGCCTACAGAGGGTGGCTGGCTACTTACTGCTTGAACAGAAAATAGAAGCTTAGTAAAAAAGATATTTTAGTTTGCATTTTAAAAATAGGATATTGAAGGTGTTGATCAGTGAAACTTTGGAACAAAGTACCATTACTATATTTTAAAAAGAGGCAGCCGGGTGCAGTGGCTCACGCCTGTAATCCCAGAACTTTAGGAGGCCGAAGCGGGTGGATTGCTTGAGCTCAGGAGTTCAAGACCAGCTTGAGCAACATGGCGAAACCCTGTCTCCACTAAAATAACAATCAGTAGCTGGGCTTGGTGGCACACTCCTGTAATCCCAACTACTTGGGAGGCTGAGGCAGGAGAATTGCTTGAACCCGGGAGGCAGAGGCTACAGTGAGCCAAGATCACGACACTGCACTCCAGCCTGGGTGACAGAGTGAGACCCTGTCTCAAATAAACTGATAAAGAAAGAGGCAAAAGAACACAAGGAGGGAGAAGGAATCTCTAGCCATGATATATTCAGAGCATGAAGAAGCCGAATTAGTAATTTGTCAGTGTGAGAGAGGATGACTGGGCATGAGTAGTAGGGCTAGAGAGAGAACTGACTCTGTTTCTACGATTCCCAGACGAATAGTGGTCTCTGTAACTCAATCCCCTTGAAATACACCTCCCATTATAGCAAATTCTCTCCTATTTATTTGAGATTACTTAAGTATTTCACTATTCCTTGCAACCAAATAACCCTAAGTAAAATAAGTAATAGTTCATATAGGTAGGATACAGGAGTATGATCATTTAAACATTTAGTGAGTCCTTGTTTCTATTCATTTTAACTGTTATTAATTTTTAACTGTTATTAATTTCACTTGTTACATAGGACTTTTGCCCTTCCTTATAGAGCACTTAGAATTTGATCTTGATATACAACTATTTTTATTCTGTCACCCCCAGGAAAAGACAAGGTCAATACCATTCTTCACTGCTCTTAATTTCGTTCCTTTATTTATTCGGTCAATAAATATTCATTAAGGGACTACTGTTTTCCAGGGCCAAACATGGTGCTAGACTCTGAGGATACAATAATTGACAAGACAGTCATTGTCCTTGATCACATGAGACTCACAGTCCATTGAAGGGAAGTAAATTCCAGGCGTTGACATTAGATAAGGGATAAATTAAATGTTCACTTAGTTGGGAAAGTTAGATATTTAATTAGTTCAAAGTTGGTTTCATAATATTTTATCTAAAATGAATTCCTAGGAAGAAATTCTGTCTCAATTAGATCTTTTCCTCCTTTTTCAGAGGCAAGGTCTCACTTTGCTGCTCAGGCTGGGCTGGCCTCAAGGGATGCTCTTACCTCAGCCTCCCAAATAGCTAGGACCGCAGGTGTGTACTGCTATGACTGGCTTCAGCTGGATCTTTGTGCCTTTTGAATAAAGCATTTCACCACACTCATTTTCCTTTTTTTCACTGCCAATGAATTATTATTTTGCTGTACATGAGAACCAGAGAAATATGGTGCCTGAAACTTTGTCAACAACTGTTTACAGTATGCATTTTAAGCTCACAGGACCAGGCACACATTGCTGTTCCTTACAGTAGTTTCATATAAATGTTTATAAGATGCAGATAACCTAGGATTGTATTTTACATTTGGTTTTAGTATGGCAATGAGTGTCATTTTAAAAATTTTTACTTGAGCATCTTCCAAATTTTGAGAAGTTTTTAACTCAAGCATCCTTCAAATTTAAGAGAAAGGCTTGATAAATACAAAAAGTGATTCACATCTCTAGGAGATTGGTTAGATATTGTGGTATATTTGAACTATAGCCTACTATAAAGCAATTAAAAATAATAAGGTAGAGTTGTATGCAATGGCACAAAAAGTGTTCAAGATATGTTATCATGTTTATATATACAGAGAGACACAGGAAAAGAGAAAGAACTATTTATTTGTATGTGTGTAGTGAACATGATAAATTGTCTACTTATCATCCATACCTTTCTTTCTCCTTCTTGATCATCCAAATCATCTTGAGGAATTCACATTTCTTCATGTATCACATGCCTCCGTAGAAAGTAGTCTCACCCAAAATTCTCCAAACCCATCTTCCTTGACAGTGATTGGTTCAGGAAAGTGCCCCAATATAGGCCTATGTGTTATAAAAAGAAGTTTCTTGGGGACCTTCTAGGAAAGTTCTTTCCCTTCTGGGATAGTTTATTAAAGCAACCCTCTCTTTCTCAGGATGTTGCTGTATGGGACTGTAAGACAGAGAACTGCTGAAACCATCCTGCTAATAGCTCAATTCGCAGGGGAGGCAGAGATTAACAGAAAATCACGAGGAGACATAGTCCAAGGCACTGAATTAGTTTATCCTCGAAGGCTACTTTTATGTAAACTTTTAGATAAAATGAGCTGATGAATCTTCTTAGTGCACAAGTTGGCTTCTTTAACATATTTAGCTTGTTGCAGCCAAAGTCTTTCTGAGGATTTGTATGTGGATATATATATGTATGGCCACATCAATTCATTAAAGGAAGATTGGAAGAATATACCCGAATTAAGAAAGAAAACATGGAAAAAGTGGGATTGGGATAAAATAAGAGAGTTCTTTACTTTTTATTCAATATACTTCTTTCTGAACACTTAGTAGAGATGTATTGTTTTGTGTTTAAATGTGTTTTAAAAAATGGAA
This sequence comes from Homo sapiens, assembly GCF_000001405.40. Lineage (NCBI taxonomy): Eukaryota > Metazoa > Chordata > Mammalia > Primates > Hominidae > Homo > Homo sapiens. The sequence goes on along the minus strand of NC_000005.10, from coordinate 161,795,402 downwards.
GTATTAGAAAAAAGTTTTTTCAATAGTATACTCTTTCGCTATTTCCTTAGAAAACTACATTGTCATATCTTAATTTCTAGGAAAATCACTGGTGAACCCACCAGAGATTTCATTGATAAATATTTTATTAAGAAGTTTCAAAACTTATCAGCATAGTGTATTGGAAAGGAAACACCAGTTGTCAGGAGACTTGCCTCAGGTAAAGCATAGAGCAATTCTGGACCTCATTCCCATCATTGGTAGAGATACAAGAATGAATCCAAACATTTATTCTACTGAAACCCCAGCCTTCTCTGGATCTTGCGACTCTAACTTATATCCACAGATAAAAGACTTTATGTTGAATACTGTTAAAAGCAAGGAAAAAGACTAGATGAATTGCTAATGTTCGTGAACTGCTATATCTTGTGGCAGCTGAAAAATGACTAGTTAAAGCACCTTTATCTAATCACCTTTGCTTCACTAATTCCTTTCTTCTCAGGTTAATGTCTCACAATTGCCATTAAAATAGACTGTTCAAAAGGAATTGAATGGTTTGGCCATTAATTTATTTTTCTATTGTTTTGTATTTTCATCTCTATACTGATATTTTCTTCCATCAGCTCAAAAGTATGCTCACTTTATTCCTAAACCTTAACCCATTTTTTTCCTATTTTATTCCAAGGTCTTGAATAAAAGAGAGTCATGGAATTGACAAATTTAACCCTGTGGTAATCAAAAAACAGTTACATTCTTATCATGTTTTTACTCAGGGTAAGTTCAGCTAAAAATATTAATAAACAAATCAACATATTCCAATTATATTTTATCCTCATATGTCATTTCGTCATACATAAATAAATGCACTTGCAGTTGGTTAATTATCAAATAATTTCAGACTATAATGTAATTAACTTCTTTCTTGGCCATTTATTCTTAATTTATGTACAAATAATTGTTGCTAACTATTTCTTACAAGATAGTATTTTATAATCTTCAAATGTCTATTTGATATACATTTTCTTAGAAATTAAAAATTATCTAAAACATGTTCCAGAGAAATATAGTCTCCAATGTACAGATAATGAACTGAGAGTCTTCAGATGTTAATTATTTTTCCTAATTAGTTACCTAATTATATGGCCAGTCAGTCCCAGATTCTATAATAAAACGAGATTCACTCAGTACTCTGGTTTATTTTCCCTCACTTTGGCCTTATAATTCCTAAAGGACTATTCAATTTATTTTCTGGAAGGACAAATATGAAGTTAAAATATGTCCAGACATTTCCAAGTATTAATAAAATGTGCTCCAGGTGGGAAAATATAACTCTTCCAGTTTCCAATATTTCTGAATCCACAATTACCACCTGTCTCTCGTGTCAGTGGTATTGCCAAGGCAGTAAGATGATAGGAACAGAATATAATATCTGGATTCCACCAAAGTTTCCAGATAATACAAACTTGTTACATGCAGTGGTGAGAGAGATTGATAGAAAGATACCATAGATACAGGGAAATGATCAGATGTTCTTTCATGTGGGTGAGATAACAACCTGGCTCACACAAAGCACACATAGATCACAGGAACGCTGCATCTCTGTCTGCAGGGAAAACTGCCCAGATGCTCAAGTGTCCAATATGGTTCCCACTTGCCAAAGAACGAAGAGATTCATGTAAAGCTTCTGTCTTCTTCAAGAAGCTTGGTCTTGTCATTATCATGTTGATTGGCATGGAATAAAGGAGGATTACACTCTCCTGGATCTTCACAGTGTCTTTTTAGACACTTACAGAAATGCTCATTGGGGCAAATTATTGAGAACCACTAGTATAACTATGATTCATGAATTTCCGGGTGAATCATGAATTTCTAAAGCATTGCATCCTCAGTAGGCTGAGGTCTTCCCTCTGCATATTAAACAGATTTATATCTCTTGGCTTTCACTACTACTAGAAGCATATAACAATGCAGTTAGGACTTTCAAAGTAGGTATGAAATTTAAGGACTGTACTGTGTACTACTCTATTTCCTAAGTAGGTAAAAATAGCCATCTGTCTTTTTACTAAGTCAGTAAAAATAGCCACCTGACAGGCAACTAAGGAAATAGTTTGTGCTAGTCTCTCTCTTAAATAGAAATTTCACTTAACCAGCTTCCAATTTGCAGTGTTGGGCAAGGTATCTGTGCCTATGACTATATAAATCTATGTTCACCTATAAAGACTCCTGAAAATACAGATTCTCAATCTCTGTTTGCTCTCTTGGTTTTGATGGGTGTCAGTAGGAGTAGACTTTTAAACACCATGTTCTATGTGGAGGAAATTCCTAAATAGTAATGCTATGTGCAATGCTAATTCTTTTGAAAGGTTAAAAAAAAACCTCAATGTGCCTTATATAACATGATCTATTTATACTCTGTCACTAAGGAGAGTCAGCTGCATTTATGTTCAGAGCGAACAGAACAATTCATTTGCACCTTATCATCCAATTGATGACTACCGATTTACCTAACTGACTGACAGAACAGGGTTAGGCAATGATAATTTGTCCGATGGATTAAAATGTTTAGAACTGAAACTCTCAACAATATTTAACATAATAAATCATTGAGCATAGAAGTTTTAGCCCCAGAATGTCTGAATCTTCCTCAAATATCAATTACAATATAAAGTTCCACCACAGGATATTATACAGTTACTAAGAAACTATTGCAGTCTCAATCCCAAATTAGATGCTTTCAAACCCTCTTCATTATTTCTAGCACCTGGTAGTGACTAGCAACACCCATGTGAGTTTTTTAACCAATAAGATATTCTTTAACAACAAAGCACATTTTTTAATTGAGAGCATAATATAAAACTTGGGGTGGTGCTGGGGGTTGAGGGATAGATTCTGGATTACATAGATTCTGAAAACAAAATATGACTTCAAAAGACTATTAAATATGATTCCATTCTTTATGTGTTGAAACCACAAAAATATATCAAATGCTACTATGTTTACAGTCCCCTCTTCGCTTGACTTCTATTTAATCACTGTATCTGTATTTACTACTTCTTTTGTGTTTAGCATATAATGTCTTCGTTTTAATGTTCCTCATAATAGACAGCTTACTGTATGCTGCACTGTGTAATGCACTTTACATGCTGCATTTCAAAAAAATATTCACAGTCACTTTATGCAGTAGACTATTGTTGTACTCACTCAAGATGAGAAAACTGAGTTTTGGAAAGTTAAGTAACTTTCTAAGTCATTGACAGAACTAAAAATAAATTATGTTAGAATTAGACTTTATTTCAATGCTTCCCAATTTCCCTTTTCTGAATTCAAATAGATAAAAGGAAGCCGCTACTACTTATGTGGAAAACACGGTTCTCCCCCATCTACCTGCAGTGGAAATCCTGGGAGGCTGAAGGGCATTTTGAGGAGTTTTTCCTCCTTAGTCAAACATTTATTACACAAAAGAACGCTCTTTGAAGATTTGCTATGAAATCCTTTGAGTCCCTTTTTGTGTTGTTTCATATCTCACTAATGAGCTTCAGTTTAATTCTGTTTTATTTATTCTTTGTTTATTTTATTACAGTAAAAAGATGACGTTTATAACCTCACAAATTACATCCCTTTATATTCGTGATGCGTAGGAGTTTTTCTTTTCTTTTCTGTTTTTTTTTTTTTTTTTTTTTTTTGTTAAGTCTTACAAAGCAAGGTGTAAAGAAAAACGGCCTGCCATTCAAGAAACGAATACAAAGAGAAAGGTGCTCTGAAGAATGGAAACATAAATAAATGCAAAATAAATCAGTGAAATGCATCTATACCCATGTGTTTTTAACATATTAAATTATATATAATTTTAAATTCTTCAAATCTGTAACTTAGAGATGACAAATGTTTTCAAATTTACTATATTTTTCCAGCATGGAATGATGCTCAGGTTTATGCTTTTCTTAGTTTCCCTTGGTATTTTTTCTCTAAACATGATAATATTTCGGTGTTCTTGTAATACATAGTTTGATCTCCACTAGTCAAATAAGAAGTAAAATTAATTAGACAATAATTAAACGCTGTCAAATAAGTTAAGTCAGACTTAACTTAAATATGAAACTTAAATATGACCCAGAGATTATGTCAGATTAAAATAATAGATTTGCTAAAATAAACATAATAATCACATTTTTAAGCAATCTGAAAAATTACAGGCTTGTAAAGCTGCCAAGACAAAAATTTGGCTCTAGATCTTCTCATCATTCCATAGCTCATGCAGTTGTAAGCCATTCTCTATAGTATAAACATTATTTTAACTGCAATGAGCCCAATACAGAAATTATATGGAAAGGGGTGTGAAGAGTCAGGATATAAAGTATTTGCATAGATTTGCATCACTTACACATTCAAAAAAATTTTACTCACCAGCCAAATTCAGTTTAACAGACTATTGCTTTTGGATTCAGCTTCCAGTTTCTAACTGCAACACTTGCTTAGGAGACCCTTGTATCATTTACTCTTATAAGTACTTTTGTTTCTTTTTCTGCATGCATGTCACAATCAAATGCCCTAGTTTTGGGGAAAATATTTGCTTAGTGTCTATTTTCTTCCCCTAAACTAGTAAGTTCCACAAGGGCAACATCATTGTCAACTTTTCCCCTATATTTCCCAGTGCCCTGTTCAGAACAGAGCATATAGTAGGTGTTCAGTAAATATTTTTAAATGAACAAATGAATACATGAGACATGTCATCAGCTTTCTCAGAAGAAGCAAAAAGAAGATCATCCAACTGCTTAATTTAAGTCCTTTTATTTCAATGAGTTGCTGGTTCCTTGATGAGTCTGGCTCATTCTCATGACTGGAAATAACACAGCTCAGAGTAGTCTGAACTAAGCAAGGGAATTAGAGCTACTGACTCACTGTAGATGATTTTGGTTCAGAAAAGATTTGAAACGGTTTAGATCATGGTTAGGTCTGGCAAATTATTATTGGATTAGCATTTTTAATTGTTCTGTAAAAATGTCTTGAACTGTGATATGGTTTGGGATTCAGTAAAAGAGGAGCATTTAAGTAGTTCAGTTTTTAACCAACAGTTTTCAGATCATGTTTCCTAATGATAAACTACATTTCAGCATGCTTCTTTGAGCAAACTTGTATGCGTATATATAAGAAAAACATATATATATATATCTCTTATGTTTTAAATATTAATATTTATTTAAATGCACTATTCTGGGGCTTAATGTCTATTTTTTTGGATTATAGTGTTGTCAAAATAATGTAGGAGGCAGAATTGGGAGAACTCTTTGTATACACCAAGTTATTTCTGCCTAGTACCCTCATATGTTACATGAAGAAAAGGATGGTTGACTCAATAAGATGTAATTTCCTTTATGCTTTAAAATTCTGGGGAAAGTAAACTGTGTGGCCTATATTCATATTTGTGAAAATACAGATTTCATTAAAGTATGCCAAGCAATGATACCTATATATTTGAGATTATAAGCCCGTATCAACTTCCAGATATAAACAATATAGCAAATCCTGCATTGTTAGATTTATTCCATCTAGCTACATTCCTTATTTTTCTAAGCAGTTTTGTTATCCAAATTAATTCCTGACTTATAGATTCAGAGAAATATCTCTGTATGAATTTCTAATGTCTAATTTTACTTAAAATCCTTGAGCCAAAACTTAGAATTGCCTCACTGGGAAATTTCCATTCCTTTCCTAACTCTCAGTGCCATCTAAATGGAGACCTATTTGTGCATTTCTTCCTTTAACAGTGGGCAAAGATGACGAACTGTGATTGAGTAATGTGCTCAACTAATTAATACACGTGTTTTAGTCCCTCATTCCATTTGTTTTACTGTTTTAATTCAAAAACATCTTCTTGAAGTTCTGCGGAGTGGCCAATTTCCTAGCTTCTTTTTTTTTTTTTTCTTACCAGTAAATGTCTTTTCTAATTCAAAAATGCAAATCTATAAGTATACTTGCTTGCTTTTTAGCATTCTGCCATTTTGCAAAACTGTGCCTGAACTTAGCCATAAATATATGGTTTAGCATATATGAATCTCAGAAACCTCATCACCAGTCCAGGTCACAACCAGCCCACTGTGATCTCACTGCTTCCGAACTCACAGCATAACACTCACTCAGTAATTAATCATTCCTGCTTGTGACATTTCCTATAATGTATATTTAACATTTCATAGTTTTATAATTTGCCAGTGTATCCGTGCCCTAGCCACCTCAATTAAATTGCAAGTTTTTTGAGTCAGATTTCATGTCAGTCTTGCAGAATGAAATGTAAACAAAGAAAATGTGTGTTGATTATTTAATTGATTGGTGGTATCCATGTAGATTGAAATAAGTCCAACAGTATGTATAATAAAAGGTTAAAAATGTCTTCCCCAGATCAAGTTTTCTTGAGTATGTTAGTGTTTAAGAATTAATTGTGAGAGTTCTCAACAAAGCATCCACAGATTTCTTTGCCTTTGTCTACAAAATCAAGAACAAGAAGAAAGTATAAAATGACATGTAATGGACAGTGTCCTTTACTCCTTTAACTGACTTGCTACATTTCCAGTCCCAATCTTTCTACATATAAGAAGATGCATTTCCTAAAATATTGTCCAGTGAACTTAATAGTGTAAATTCAATAATGGGACAAAGGGTCAAATAGATTTGAGAAAAACTGGTATAAACAACATTAAATAGGTATCTTTTCTGTAAGAATCCACTGAGCTTTTAATATCTTTGTGTCTATTGTGACTTCCAAAGGGATGGGACAAAAAATATGGTATACTACTTATCCCAGGTCTGTGTAATCGTGTTTTTTTGTTTGTTTCATCTTCTAAAATCTGTATTCCATGGTGTTACTGTTGAAAACTCTAAGTAGAAATTCCAGGCACGTCTAATATAATGTATAATGTTTGGAAATGGATTATCAGTTGCAATGGACCATTTCTTATTCTGAGGGCAAAAGTCCAATATTAACTTGAGTTTGATTGCTCACTTGTTTAGTACTTAGTTTAACAGCATAGGACAGATTCCTCGATTTTCCTGTTTCCTATATCGCCATTTCCTCACGTTGTGTTAATGATGTTTATGTACTATGCTACCACAAGATTGCTTTTCTAAAATTAATTTCATTTACCGACTGGCTTTTAGGAATCTTTATTGTCTTGTTTTCTTCCACTGCATAGTGATATCCTCTGCAGATTGCATAAGCATGTCCACTTGTATTGGATAGTAGTCTTAAAGACAGCAGTTGCATATCAAAATTCTACCCAATAATCATTAGCCAAGTGATATAATTTGCCACTTTTCTTTCTAAATTTGTTTTCTCCTCCATACAAAGTTGTATGCAGATTTTAACAGTATATAAAAGTTATTAGTAAATCACAAAATACTTTGAATATGCATAGTATTATTTTATGTAATCATAGTAATTTCTTCTATGTTTCATATTTTATTTAATGAGAAACTGTTAGCAGCAGTTAAGTCTGGCGAGTAAAACTGAAGGTGCTAAAAACAAAAGAAAGCTTATACATTATACTTCTATGTATCCTTATAAATTTTATTATTTTACTCTAAAAATATTTTTCCAAAAATGTATTTTTAAAAATATTATCTCAAACCTACTTCCATCAAGGTAACAGTTTATTTCAGGTAACACAAGCCTAAAGCCATACATTTAAAAAACATGGAACTTGCAAGGCAGAACTAAAGATTGATCAAAATGTTGAAGCCTCTTCAGTTGTTCACAACTCGACACTCAAAAGGGTGAGCTAGTCCCATATCAAAAAGTAATGTACAAATGATCTGCCAAGGCATCTTCCTCATCCTTGCACATCCTTCATGGGGGAGGGCAGTGTCCTCTCTATTATTTCTTCTATGGATTTGACAAAAACATTTATCATGCCTTTTGTTTGTATTATGAGAGCATCATTTTTTAAAGGAAGCTCTCTTATATCTCACATTCAGATGCTAATCATTTATGCCCTTCTTTGCCTTTGAATACAGATCAAATGAAACATCCATTAGCAAATTATTTTCATTAGACTCTAGGGAAAACTTGAATAACACTTTCAGAGACTCACGGATCTTCCAGGAGAAATAGTTACAAAAGTAGCACTGATCATGGAACAGTAAATTAGTCAAAATTTAATTTTCTACTGAATATTTTTATGACAAGTGATGTGTTCCTTTGTTTACTAAGAGACAGACTGTATTTCTCATAATGGTAATAAACTTTTCCTACGTGTTTATTTTCATCGCTTTAGAGAACTATAGAAATAAAATCTTCCTTATTGCTCACGTCAAAAAAATGGCTTATGTTTTGTCCAGGTTAAAAAGAAGAAAATTAATAGGAAGATTTTTCCAAATGTATGAGCATTTTTATGTATGAAAGTACAATAGTGGTTAAAATATATGTAGCTCTGGATGAATGTTTGTGCATGTTCCTTTTAAGCACTAAAATTGGGAATCTCAAGATGACTAGGATGCTTGAACTTCCTCTATTTTATTTATTTATTTATTTATTTATTTATTTATTTATTTATTTAATTCCTTTATTTAGAGACAGAGTCTCTCTCTGTTGCCCAGGCTAGATTGCAGTGGCACAATCTTGGCTCACTGCAACCTCCTCCTCCTGGGTTCAAGCAATTCTCCTGCCTCAGCGTTCCAAGTAGCTGGGATTACCTGCTCCCGCCATCACATCCGCTAATTTTTCTTTTTTCTTTTTTTTTTTTTTGTATTTTTAGTAGAGATGAGGTTTCACCATGTTGGCCAGGCTCATCTCGAACTCCTGACCTCAAGTGATCTGCCCACCTTTGCCTCCCAAAATGCTAGGATTACACACGTGAGCCACTGCTCCCGGCCATCCTCTATTTTAATAATAGTTTGTTTCTTCAACTGCCTTTGGCCTTTAACTTCCTCCACCTTTTTCATTTCTGAGTTTCAGAAGTCATTTGGTGTAAAAGTGATGAGAGCTTTATTAGACTTTATGATTTTTTTTTAATATACTTAAGGTAAAACTCCTACAAGAATTTCTCAAAATTGGGGCTTAATTACGAGATACCAAAGGAGCAGTTATCATCTTAGGGCTTCTTAAATCTGACCTTAAGAAGAGATCTATAGAGTTCTTACCTTTACCTTGCCTTATAGAGCTCGTATGAGGAAGAGGTATAGTTTTTAACCAATTAAAGACAGTCATTCCAAAGTCCTCTTCACCTTGGTTCAGGCAAATACTGGACAATTGCAGTACTTTAACACATATCTCTAATTCTTGATTTTCCTATTATGTGTCCTCCCTTCTTCTTCCTTTGCTCCATCCCACATCCCTTCTGTAACCAACACATAGGCTTCTTTTAGTAAACTCAAAATAAAATTCTAAGTCCCCAACCTACTGATGGACCCTCCTATTGGTGAAGGGTGTTCCAAAGTTAACCTGAAAAACTAGTTCAGGCCATAATGGGAAGTTGGGGTTGGAGTTGAGTCATTATACCATCCTCCCATTGGAATTCAGGCACAGCTGACCAGCATTAACATTACACAGAGACTTAAGGCTGATAGAACAGACTCTTTCAGTCTAATAAGAAACATTTACAATCAAATCTCTCTGCAGCCTGCTACCTGGAGTCTCTCTCTGCATAAGAACCTTGGTCTTCACAACCCCTTACTTTAACCGAGATGTTCCCTTCTATTGATTGTAGGTCTTTAGATAAACTTTTTCAACTAACTGCCAGTCAGAAAATGTTTGAATCTGCCTGTGACCTGGAAGCAATACCCCCTCCTGTTGTCTTGACCACATTTCTGACCTGACCACCTTGGGCACATGTTCTCAACGTCTTCTAAAATTGTGTCACAGGCCATTGATTGCTCATATTTGGCACAGAATAAATCTCTTGAAATATTTTACAGAGTTTCACTCTTTTCATCAACATTTGCTTGTGTTACCAGTACATACCCCACCCCCCAGTTCTTCCAATTCTTGCCCTACTGCAGGATAAAGCTAAGAGTTAAAACATTTGATGCCTCTCTAGAGTTTGACCTTCTTGATCTCATTAGAATTCCTTCTTATTCCTGGTCTACTCAGGGCTGCCAAACTCACCCCACATTTTTATGATTTCATCACTGCTCTCCTTTGCCCATGATCCAGTCCCTTCAATCTCTACCTTCACACATATACCTTTAATTCCTGAGAATTTCCACTCTTTTCTTCTCTGTGAAGGAATACCCTAATAGACTCTTACTTCTTCACTTCCTTTACCACAGACTTTACTCATAATCACTGTGATTTCTTCATCATATTTATTCACATTTATTTTTTAAAGTTATTAAGTAAGTAATGTTTATTTCCACAAGGTCAGAGAATATATCAATCTTATTCACTTCTATGATCAGCACCCAACAGTTGACACATAGTGACAATAAGTAAATGTGTATTGAATGAAGAAATATCTCCAATTGGAAATGATATATGCCTTCTCTAAATCATACTGGATCATTCATATGCATTCACTATATATTGCCTGACAGAGTAGTTTTATCATTCATAAATTTAATAAATATATTCTGAACTTCTTCCTTTTGCTAAGGACTCTGAAAGTATTAATCATCAATCAACATGGATCTAACCTTACTTTTTTTTTTTGCAGTCTAGTGGAGAATGAAGGTCTTGTAAATATTTCTTTCTTTTTTTTATTATACTTTAAGTTTTAGGGTACATGTGCACAACATGCAGGTTTGTTACATATGCATACATGTGCCATGTTGGTGTGCTGCACCCATTAACTTGTCATTTAGCATTAGGTATAGCTCCTAATGCTATCCCTCCCCCATCCCCCCACCCCACAACAGGCCCCGGTGTGTGATTCTCCCCTTTCTTTGTCCATGTGTTCTCATTGTTCAATTCCCACCTATGAGTGAGAACGTGCAATGTTTGGTTTTTTGTCCTTGCAATAGTTTGCTGAGAATGATGGTTTCCAGCTTCATCCATGTCCCTACAAAGGACATGAACTCATCATTTTTATGGCTGCATAGTATTCCATGGTGTATATGTGCCACATTTTCTTAATCCATTCTATCATTGTTGGACATTTGGATTGGTTCCAAGTCTTTGCTATTGTGAAAAGTGCCGCAATAAACATACGTGTGCATGTGTCTTTATAGCAGCATGATTTATAATCCTTTGGGTATATACCCAGTAATGGGATGGCTGGGTTGAATGGTATTTCTAGTTGTAGACACAGAATAAAAAATGACAAATACTAAAAAAGTGGTACAAATAAAGCATTATCAGAACTAAGGAGATTTGAAAAGATAATGCTATAGTTTATATAAGTTTAAATGATAAATGAAAGAACCCATTCAGAGATAAAGACCTAATTTGTATACATGCCACCATTCTAATTAAATGGGAAAGTAGAGAATTTGTTTAACCCACCCTTATATCCCTTATACAGTTGTATCTGTCCCAGTGCCTAGAATACAACATTTTACATACCAAGCATCCATAATTATCAAATAAGCATAAAATACAGATGCATTTATTCTGATTTATGACTTCAACGAGTGTTTATTAGCATCTCACATATGCTGGATCTTAAAAATATAATGGAAGACAAGAACTCTGCTCTCACAAATTTTCTTGTATGCTTTCATGGGAAGACTAAGAGTTAAGTAACAATTGTAACAAAATTTTTCTTTCAATATCCTCTATACAGATGAGCTAATTTTGAAGTTGGAAAAGAGATACTAAAATCAATTATATCATATTTTGAAAGATTTATTTATTGACATACAAAGTGGTTTTATCATGTCTCTGGATATAGAAAATATGCAAATGTCTCAAAAATAAGTTATTTTACAAATGTAAAATAGTATATGTCAATGAATATTAAAGCAAAATGATAACCTTTATATTAAAAGCTAACGTAAGCAGAATATGTCTGCTTTGTCACTGAAGATTTATTTGTATGTTAGTCAGTATTTTATCTGTCTCTAACATTTTGACTCACTCGTAATTCTATGATCTGATAGTGGAAGAAAAGATTAAAATATATGATTTAACTCTCCCAAAACAAACAAAAAATTAGATCCTTCTAAACTTCATAGCAGTAAGTATAGACCTTTTTTTAAATAAAAATAATCTCATTTTAAACTGAAAACATTTCCTTGAACAGGAGGAATTCTCTAAAATTTCAATTCAGAAGATATTTACAAATATCCCAAACTTGATTACAAAACACATTACAATTTTAGGTAACTATCACAGAACTTTCTCAGAGTTCTTCTTTACAATTATAACCAGAAAACAAGGTCCATAATGTAAAACAGATGAAAACACATTAAACAGATATAAGTAGAGACCTAATAATTCTGTTAGGTAACATGATGCATTTTATTTTCATTTTTTATTTTTGAGACAGAGTCTTGCTCTGTCACCCAGGCTGTAGTGCAGTGGCATGAACACAGCTCACTGCAGCCTGGATCTCCTGGGCCAAAACAATGCTCTTACCTCAGCCTCCTGAGTAGCTGGGAGCACTGGCATGAGCCACCATGCCCAGCTAATTTTTCTATATTTTTGTAGAGTCAGGGATCTCACTATGTTGCCCAGGCTGGTCTGGAATTCCTGTCCTCAAGCGATTGTCCCGCCTTAAACTTCCAAAGTGCTAAGGTTATGAGCATGAGCCACTGCACCAGCCATTTTGTTTGTGTTTTACTGTACAAACACCACTTTTAAAAAATCAGTTTTAAACATAGCATTGTAAGATTTTCAGCTCTTTGTATAAATTCTTACTTGTATAAACTAGAAGCAGAGAGTCTAATCTTAGAATCTGATTGATTTTATCCTAAAGTATTACAGCAATAAGCTTTTTGTTTGTGACTCACTATCAATGTAATCTCATTTTTTTTTTTAAGTGAAAGGAGAAAATTTGCAGGAGATAATGCTGAAGAGGTAATTAGGGGCTAGATTATATACGACATTATAAACTATGGCAAAAATAAAACATACACTTTTTATTTGGATTAATGGGGAGACACTGAATGCATTTAAGTGAGGTTTACATGATCAAAAGTGTTTACAAAGATCAAGTCTATCAACATCATGGGGAATGGATTTTGGAAGCACAAGGCTAAATCAGGAGACCAACTTGAACAATTTTGGAGTAAGCCCAGACAGTGTGGTTTGTAGAGATGGAATGGACAGAATTTAAGGAACAGAAACCACAAACTTGGTCATGGAATTGTTAAAGGGTACAGAGAACTAAAGCAGTAAGTCAAGGATGACTCTGATGCTTGGGCAACTGACTATATGGATGGAGGTGTCATTTGTGGTTAGGCAACTAGAAGAAGAAAATTAGCAATGCCTTCACAATCATCTTAAAACCTTTATGAATTGAGAATATTGTCTATTACACAACACCCCTCAAATTACCATTCTTCATATTATGATATATAACTCCTTTGTATCATATATGGTGTATAAAAAGAACATTTAAAATAATAAAATGAAAAAGAAAATTTGTGTATTGAAACTGTATTTGAGCTTATTATGAAATTCGTTCTTCTTTGTTTTTTTTTTGCACATAAGGACTTTTCAAGGTCTGTCAAGTTCACAGTTACCTTGACGTTAACAAATGTATGATCAGCCTCCATTTTTTTCTGTCTCAATGTGTATAGATTCAATATAGATTCATCAAATTCTTGGTTCTTTTCTCTGAAGTCTCCAAACTACTTTGAATCAAATTTAGCGAATTTAACACTTACAGTATTGAATGTTTCAGCTTCAGAAATTCCACTCAGTTCTACTTTATAACTTATCTCTTCATTCTGTTCAACTTTTCCTTCATTTCCATGTATATATATTGCTATATATATACATACACATATATATGTATATATGTGTATGTATATGTTTGTGCATGTATATGTATATGTATATATATCCTTTATATGTAGCAATAGCTAGCTCATATTTCCCCTGCTTCTTGACATAACAATTTTATAGGAGATGCTGGACAATTTGAATATTATATTGTTGAGAGCTGTATTTTATTCTGATTTTTTATATATCCCTACACTTTATTCTTGCTAACACTTAAGTTATTTGTGGGACATCTGGATCCTTTTGAAACTTGGTTTATGTTTTGTTGTGGTAGATCTCTTACAGCCTCCACTCTAGGGAAGTTTAGTCCTGGTCAAAAGGCATGATAATCTGTGGTCTTTCCTTAAGGGCCAGAGTGTTTAACAAAGCCTTCCTTCTGTAGCTGTTTCGAACTTAAATTATTCCATCTCTGAGTGGACTATGAGATTGTTTTTACTGACAGCTCCCATCTTTTTTTTTTCCCCATACTGGAGAGTTTCACTCAAGGACCCTTGAGTAGATTTATGATTTTTCTCTGCATAGCTCCATCCTCTCTGTTCCTCTGATCACTAGTATCAGCTGGCTCAGGCTTATCAAACTCCAATTTCTATCTAGCAAATTTGATAATTCGCTGTTTTTTGCTTAGTTTCCCTATTCTTCTACTGTGGTCCAGAGAGTGCTTCCAGAAAGCAAGGGTAATTATAAGGCTTGCTTCATTTTTTTTCTCTCTTTTCAGGCCCCACAGTCTTATGCAGCATGTTGATCAACATCTACAAGCGCTTGATTCTTACATTTTATCTACTTTTTCATTTTCCATTATGGGACATCATGTCTAGCTCTATTTATTTCATCATAGCTAGAAATGCCACACCTGACTTTAAATGACACATAGAGTCCTGATATGGTTCGTCTGAGTCCCAGACAAATCTCATCCTGAATTCCACATGTCGTGGGAGGGACCCAATGGGAGGTAATTGAATCCTGGGGGCAAGTCTTTCCCGTGCTGTTCTCATGATAGTGAATACGTTTCACAAGATTTGATGGCTTCATAAGGCAGAATTTTTCTGCATAAGCTCTCTGTTTTTGACTGCTGCCATCCACGTAAGCTGTGACTTGCTCCTCCTTGCCTTCCACCATGATTGTGAAGCTTCCTCAGCCATGTGGAACTGTTAGTCCAATAAACTCTTTTTCCTGTATAAATTACCCAGTCTCAGGTATGTCTTTATCAATAGCATGAAAGTGGACTAATACAAGTCCCAATTGCTTGTTTGATCTGGGAATATGATGTGATTCTCTGATTATTATTTTGTTCACTAATAAATATGAATCTGGCAGATGCTATCATGTGTTCACCAAAAAATGTTTCACTTTTCTCCTTCTATAATTGCAGTAAGAAATGGCCACATGACTCTTTTCTGGCTAAATAGATTATGGATAGAAGTTATGGTGACCACTTTGAGTCTTATCCCATAAAATACTGCTCTAAAGTCCTCTACCCATTTCCTGTCCCTGCCCATTGAATAAATGCAGAATAATCTAAAGACGTGCAAAATAGGCACACAAAATGGAAGACTGGTGAAGAGCGCTCATGTTGGATGAGTACAATAAACTATGTAATTCTCTGAAATCTTAGGGCTTCAGCACATGGTCTACTTGAAGGAATAATAATTATAATAATATATACACATCTTATTTTCATGACAATGCAACTATTATTATTGCATTATTATTATAATAATGCATAATATGTTTATTAGCATAAACATTATTTTCATGACAATGCAATTAAATAAAATTAGAAAACATATTAAAATAAACACACTAAGTTCCTATTAAAGACACCTCTTGTTGTTGTTACTATTATTCTTATTAATCCTACTATAGATCTTACAATTTTTAGTAAAATCACAATATATATTTCAAATTAAGATTAGCAGGCCAGATAGTATTTCATAGAGTAAATGCAAAAAAATGCACTGAATTATATATTCATCCATACATGTGCAAATATATGTAGATTTTAAGATTTCATCACATTTTTATATTGATTTTGAATGGCAAATTTATTAAATAAATGGAAATGTATGAAAAATAGGAACTTGTAAGGCTAGCATAGATGGGTTCTTCAAAACCATCATACTCTTTGCTATGCCTAATCAAAGATATGTTCTGCCGTTAGAGCCTGGGGCCTGAATGGCTTCTCAGACTTAATATGTATACTCAGTTTGACCAGAACAATCATCTAGAATCACAAGTTGAGAATTCCATGCTGTTGAAACTATCAAAAGTAATAGTGAATCGACTATGATGATCTGTGAGCAGAGAGAAATAATTATTTCTTCTTATATCTCCAGGCTTTCTTCTTGAGGTGTATTTTCTGTTATTAGGAATTAAGTGGACCTTAAATGTCACTTGAATTCTTCATCTCAGCACTGCACTTGCATGGTTAAGCCTCTGTAAGAGTTAGCAATGATCTGAGATTGCTCTTAATAAGAGCTGTGTTTAAATCAAATCAGGGTGAAGTGGGTGTTTATGAAGGTGGCAGTTACTTTAACATTCAGATTAAACAGGTTGCGTAGTCTCTTATGCAAGGTGCAGGGTGCTATTGCACATTGTGGTATGTTTCCAGGTCCTATCTGATTCATTACAGTTCCCCCAACAAATGAACATCTTGAACTTACTGTGAAAGCATAGCTGACAAAATTATTTATTATTTGTAATATGATAAAAATCATGTATTTATGAGCCAAATTATCAAAGTAATTAGTTGATAGTGATGTCTCCCAGATTGGCATTTTATTTATTAGTGGTTTCATACTTTTAGTTTAAGCAAAAATTTAAAAAAAAATTGTTGCACAGTATTTGTTTATATCTTAGAAAAATCTGTTCATGCCAACAAGCTCAGATAACAAGTTTTTACTCTTCATACCTTAGAGAAAAGATGAACATTTTGCTATTGACTGGAGAAACACTTTCTAACTTTGGTGACCCCTGGTAAATACCCGGAAAACTGACATGTCTCTTAGGAGTCACCGAAATGGAAACATGTGAAGAGCAGGTCACAGGCATGAACACTTCAGGTTAATCATGTAATTATTTCATAGAGTGCTTGGAATATACATGTAAAAATAATGATGCACTGAAGACAATGTGTATCTTTAAATTTATGTAGAACAATGAAATGTATATATCATATCTATTATATATAAATTTGTGTGTATATATAAAACAGTAAAACAATAAATAATACAAATAGTATAAGAATATTTTAAGGGATCTTATTTGAAGGGCTTAACAAAATTATCTAGTCCAAAAACGATCTGCAGTTCCCCTGATTGTTTCTCTACCTCTCTTTTTCTTTTTCTAAAAATCTCTAGAACCAGAGCAAATCAATTGTCTAGCAGCTACGAGGTCTTCTTCACCACAAAACTATGGCTCTCTTCCCTCGGGTTTAAGGATCTTTCAATTTGGTAAGTCTTCACTGTCTAACAAATATTTAACAACTTCCTATCATGTGCAGGCCCTCTCTAGGGGCTGGGAAGACAATGGTAAAGAAAGACAGGGTGGGCATAGTGGCTCAGTCCTGTAATCTCAACACTTTGGGAGGCCAAGGCGGCAGGATAACTTGAGCCCAGGAGTTCAAGACCAGCCTGAACAATATAGTGAGACTTTCTCTCTACTAAAAAAAAAAATTAGCCAGGCACAGTGACACATACCTACAGTCCCAACTACACAGGGGATTGAGGTGGGAAGACTGCTTGAGTCAGGGAGTTTTGGGTTGCAGTGAGCTGTGATCACCCCACTGCACTCCAGCCTGGGTAACAGAGTAAGACCTTGTCTCAATAAAAAATAAAATGAAATAAAATAATTTTTTTGAAAAAACATGCAGTGCTCCTGCTCTCCTGGAAGCTGTAGGCCAATGGAAGAGATGTTAGCTTAATGAAATCACAAGTATGTAAACTAGCACATATGATAACTGCTATAAGGGGGCTGGTATGTGGTCATGTGAGAATGTAGAATAGGCAAATTTGCCTTTATAAAGACAGTTAGAAAACACTTTCTTCAGAAATGAATGATTTATTTAAAATGTACATAAAATAGTTAATTTGGTAAAGAATAAAACAAAAGTTTTCTAAACACAGCAAACATACATGTGCAATTTATTTTATCAAGCTGGAAATTAATTTCCTTCACATGGAATGAAATGTTTCTTATTAAAAGTCAGGACTTCTACTTGTCTTATATTTGTAAACCTAAAAGGGGAAAGCAAAATGAAAATAAAGCCTCAATTCTGCTAGAAAGTATGCATATTTTTTGATAAGTCAATATTGTTTGCTTTAAAGATGAAGTTAAATTTTGAGGAGTATGTTCCCCTGGAAATAATTAATGTATTTCCTTTTTTACATCTATTTGATTTGAACTTCTCTATTTTGATGACAACAGTAATAATATCATAGTTCACAAGGTTAGCAAACAAAATAAAAATTGTCAAAAGTTTTGTTGCTTGACACTGATATTCATGCATTAATGAATAACAAGATTCTACAGGACTTATTGAGGGAATTTGAACTGGAGTATTTCATTTTCTTACCAGATTAGCAAGTTTCAAGTCATTAATACTCTGAGATGTAGTAAAGGAAGAGAAATCACACTTTCAAGTCACCTAAGAATAATTAACCTTCAGATAAGTTTAACACTACTCTAATGTGCTTGTTTTTAACTGCAGAGAAATCAGCTGCGTTTGCTACTAAGAAGCACCTCCTACAACACAGGAAAATCCATTATTAGTTGGCATCAATACTCCATTGTTAAATGACAGATAGGTGAGGTAGCCACCTGCTTAGGTAGCACTTGAGGTGACTGATTGGATGACCTTGCATCATACAATAAAATTTATTTTATTTTTATGGCTCAAGTTATTTACTAAACAATCCGAGTAATTGATGAATTTCTTACTGTCAAACTATTTTGCAATCTGGACATTTTTCTTCTCAAAAAAGTGAAGCTGATGACTGAATTTCATTCAAATTCCCTAAGATCTATTGCTATGAAGCCATAGCTCTTCCATATTTTATGTATATACATATATATTTACCATACATAATATATGGCAATGTATTTGCATATATATCTACATACATATATATACACATACATATATATACACACACATACATATATGTATATATATACACACACATACATATGTGTATATATACATACATACATATATGTGTATATATACACACATACATATAAGTGTGTGTGTATATATATATATATATACACACACATACATATATATGCCAAAACTTTAATTGGCGACTTTTAAGTCAGTGGAAAAGAAAGATTTGAGGATTGCTGGCAGTATCCTTTATATCCATATATCCATTGATACCCACAGGTTACAATGACAGAAGAGTTTCTTGTCTAAGAGTAGCAAACTAAATTTGTTGCCAAGATCACAGATGGCATACACTTTTCTTACAGTCAAAACTTTGCTTGGCAAAGAAACTCTTCATCACTTCAAAAGCCTCAATTGCCTTTGCAATTTTCCAAAGGAGTTCATAAAAATGGAATTTTTGATGCTGTTAGCATGCATATTATAGAGGAAAACAAAAGTTTGTTGCGCTAAGGGAAGTCAGTAGGTATTTTTTGTTGTTGAATGATGAAAGAAAATGGTATCATTGTAATTCCCCATGCCCGGCATCAGTCTCAAAATGTCAGCAGACACGTAATGGATGTCATCAGTTATTGGAGGTGTGCTTCAATTTTCTTCCTCTGCTCAAAGCCACAAACTAAATTAATTCACACACCTAAGTCTGCTAAGGTCCCACCTGTCATGGGTACCACCGTGACAAGGCAATAAACCGTGAAGTGTAATTCAAGCCAAAGCTTTTCAATTGGAAAAAACCCAGGTGTTTGTACATTACCAGCAAATTCCAGACTGAGACTCCATCTCTCCAAAAATGATTCACAATATCTAATGTATTTCTCAGGATAGGAAAAGGCAAAGTGCTTCTTCAGGTTTTATTACCTCAGACTTCCACTTTCAGGAAACTTGCTACAGAATAAGCTCCATTTCTTATGTGTTCATTTACATTAAGAAATCAAACTAGAGGCCGGGCATGGTGGCTCATGCCTGTAATCTCAGCACTTTGAGAAGCCAAGGCAGGCTGTCATATTTTTCAGTTTAATTTTGCAGAGAAACTAATCTTGTAATCTTAAAGTTAAAATGAGCCTCTGAAGGTAAATTAATATAATCAAGGGTATTTCTCAATGCAGTGGTTGCTTCCTTACTGTATTTACAACAGTGTTTTTTCTGGACTCTGATACTTTTTTTAGTGTTAATTGGCTAAACATATTTATGATGAGCATTATTATCAAACTCATTATTGTCATTGTCAGTAATGTGCCAAGGACTGTACTAATTGCCATGTCAAACTCCATTTATATCTGCTTTTTTATGTGTACATGTCTATTCACTGAGTGGGGAAGAAAGAGAGAGAAAGAGGAAGAGCCCACAATTATTGTTATCTTCACTTAAAAGTAAGGAAACTAAGGCTGTATCGACTCAAAAAACCTTAAGGTCTCTTACCCTACAGTAGTTATTCATGTTCCCAAAAACGTGTCTATTGTGATTTATATTTTCCAATTGACGTCATAATTTCAGATATAATAAATCAGTTTCTAAATAATTTTATATCCTTTATAGCATCTAATATTTCAAATTCAATTTCCTGTGGACACCAGACCCCTTTTTATATATGCGTAAATTTTTTGTGGCTAAATTAGGAAAGTCTGTATTTAAAAAATTCCACATAATTCAATTCACTAGAAAATCCACTTACTTTTTTTTTTTAAAAAAAAAACAAGTTCTTAAAAACTACGTATCAGTATAGGAAAAAATATTTAATTTTTAAAATAAACCTGGTTATACAATCTGTTAGTAAATTGAATTTTCTTATCACATGAATCACAGCTACTACCTATTGTTTATCAACATCCATTTACTTATCACTGTGTGTGTGTGTGTGTGTGTGTATAGCATAACAGCTTTATTTTACATTCTCAACTATTCTATGAGGTAAATACTCTTATTTCCATTTTACATATGAGAGAATGGAGGTTACAGAGATTATGTAATTTGACCAAGACTACAAAAGTGGGTATTTTACAGAGATAAATGAGTGAGTATTTGAAGCTGGATATGACTAATTCAAAATCAGAGAGCTTAAACCGTTCCTTTGATCCATTAGAAATATATCTATTAATTTATGCTTACATTTCTAGCACAAAAAGTATAGCTAGCTGGGTGTGGTGGCTCATGCCTGTAATCCCAACACTCTGGGAGGCCAAGGCGGGTGGATCACTTGAGGTCAGGAGTTCGAGATCAGCCTTCCCAACATGGCAAAACCCCATCTCTACTAAAAATACAAAAACTTAGCTGGGCTTGGTGGCGGGCGCCTGTAATCCCAGCTACTTGGGAGGCTCAGGTAGGAGAATCACTTGAACTTGGGAGGCGGAGGTTGCAGTGAGATTGCACCACTACACTCCAGCCTGGGCGATAAGAGTGAAACTCCACCCCGCCCTAAAAAAAAAAAAAAAAAAAAAAAAAAAAAAAAAAAAAAAGGCCTAGGGATGCTATAGTTAACACTATCTTTAAAAATTAAGAATTTGCTAGTGTTTCATTTTCAATAAACTTAAAATTAAAGACTATTGGCTGGTATTGCCTGGGCTCTAGAAGATGTTTGGGTATTGCCAACATAGGAATCGTTTCTTTTGGTTATTTCTTTGCTTTACGTTCTATCAGGTCCATTCATCCACTTACTCTACAGGTAACTTTTTAAAATCTATTATGTTCTTTCCTAGACCCAAAAGATTAAATGATGAACATGACAAACAGGTTTGTGCCCTCATGGAATTTGCCACCTGGATATAAAACTAAGCTAATTACAAACACATTACAATAGTATTTTCTCACATGGTGTTTTAGTTTCTTAAAATATGAATGTTCAGAGAAAATTCAATAATTCATGATTCCTATACATTTTACTATAATTAATCAGAAATTTACTAACTGGGTCTCTTAACTTAGAGGTTACTTATTAACTAAAAGTCTCTTTTAAAAGTATATTCAGGCATCCTCCTAATAATAGTACATAGTACGCACTTGGAAAATTTGCATCTTTACCCTGCCTAAAAGAGTTATGTCGCAAATGAGCCTCTCTCAAGATCAACCTAAATAAAAGGCATATGATTTAAGAGTCCATTATTAATCAACTTTACTTGAAATCACACTTTTTAAAAAAAGAAAAACTATTTACAATTATAGGCATCATGTGTTTATTAGTCTATCATTTTCAAATTAAAAAAAAAAAACAATTTCTTTTCTACTAGTTAATTATAATTTATACCAGGCAGAGGGCAGGTTTCTGTCCTCAAGGCTACCCCCAAAATACTCAACTGTATTTATGAGAATACTCCGAATGCAGCTTTCCTTTTGTGTTTCTCAGATCTTAGTATGAACTATTTGGCAAACAAATGGATTATATCTAGGCTACTATTTAAATTACTAAAAATCTGGAACAACTCATGGGATTTGCAAAGAAATCTAACTTAGCACAATACTGTATCTTAGGCATTAAGAGAGAGGCTCCAGGGGCCGGAGACATGGAAAATATGGTGATGCTGGTCAAGGGGTACAAACTTGCATTTATAAGATGGATAAATTCTGGAGACCTAATGTATTGCATGGTGACTCTACTTAATAAAAGTGTTTTATATACTTGAAGTTTGCCAAATGAAAAGACTTTAAGTATTCTCATCACAAAAAAAGGTAACTATGTGAGTTGATAGATACGTTAATTAGCTTGATTGTGGCAATCATTTTGCAGTGTATACCCGTATAAAAACATCACACTGTATACTTTGAATATATAAAATTTTACTTATCAATTATACCTCAATAAAGCTAAGAAAGAGGAAGCTGCCCTGGCTTAAAAAACAACAGGAGGTAAATTTAAAATACTTCTTTAAGGTTCATTACCCTTTTCTATTATTTTTAGTTACTAAAACCCATCATTTTGGGTGATCAATAACATGAAAATAAAAATAACTTTACAGTGGTTGTAGTAAACCAGAGTATTCAACAATGAGCCCAGCATCAATGTATGGTTTGTAGTCAAGCTCAGGCTTAGGCCGCCCGAATTAAAGCTCTTTTCTTGTTGATTCATCGGTTAAGTCCAAATTTAGACTTTCAAAATTTTTGACATCCTTTGTTTGAGTAGCTATGAAATACTATGAAAAATCTAATTAAATAGTAAAGTGTGTTTTATTTCTTTTTATTTTTTTAATATATATTTTTTATTATACTTTAAGTTCTAGGGTACATGTGCACAAGGTGCAGGTTTGTTACATATGTATACATGTGCCATGTTGGTGTGCTGCACCCATTAACTCGTCATTTACATTAGGTATATCTCCTAATGCTTTCCCTCCTGGCTTCCCCCACCCCACAACAGGCCCCGCAAGGACAAAAAAACCAACCACCGCATGTTCTCACTCATAGGTGGGAATTGAACAATGAGAACAATTGGTCACAGGAAGGGAAGTGTGTTTTATTTCTGTCATTTTTGCTTTAGAAGATAAATGCATTGCTTCTAATGCCTCAAAATTAGGAGCTAGAGAAGGGACCAAAAAAAAAAAAATCAAGTTTAAAGAACTTTTCTTCCTTTTACTATACTCATGACTGACATTGCAAGCAAGCCTTATAAAATATGTCAGTATAGCACAGGAGGCCAGTACCAATCCATCTGTGTTGGCAAGAAAGCTGAAATTTCTTTGAAAATTCCTGTATAAATGGATTATCGTTCTAAGACATCCTGGATGTTTTTGTCTCCCTTAACAGAGCAAACCTTAAGGAGATAATTTCATGAGAAAGGCAAAATTTATATTGGTCTTGAATCTTCCAAGTTTTCTTCACCAAAACTTAGAGTCAGAGTCCCAGGGTTTGAGATGGTATCAACAATCTTCGATTCCCATCACCACGAAGTATGATGTCCTTCTTTGATTTGTATGTGCCTGTTTCAAACCACAAAAATGTGTTGGCCTTTTCTATACAAAAACTTTTTACCTGCGGAGAGAAACTTCTTCTCCCTGGAGCATTGATTTCTTTAACGTGAGTGCATCTAGATCCTTTGGTGTTCTTAATAGAGTATTCATTCTAGAGTTTTCACTATTTCAGATTCTCTAACCTGAACACATTTGAATTTGCCACTGTTAATTTTTAGTTATGGAGCCCAAAATATCTTGTATATTACTTTCTCAGGAACTATGCAGTAGTCTCTCAATCAGAAAAAAAAAAGAAAGAAAAAAGCGAAACCATTATTTTAAAACTTACTTATCTCAGAGAATACTTGTCTTAACTTAGTTAAAAGTACATTTTCACTTACTTTTTTCTTCAATAAGAGGAAAACCTCATTTTTTTCTTTTACTATTCCTTACAAAGCCTCATCTAACTATGCTTCCTGTCTACTCATCTGAACTCATCTCTTCCTTCTTAGTAACGTAGTTTGTTTATTCATTTCATTTGTAGCTCTTCACCACTAAAACTCCTTGAAAGAGGGTATTTTTTCTTCTCTTTCTCTATCTTATTTCCTTTTCCCATCCTTAGAGCTGGCTTGTTACAATGCATAGTCTCTTCACTATCCAGGACTCCCTGACCTTCCTGACCTTGGTTAATATGTGCAGGTTAAGTTTCCCCTCCATTTCTCTAGGAAACTCCCATTAATTCCATAGGTACAGGATTTTTTGTTTTGTTTTGTTTTCATTTTGTTTTTTTAAAATGTCCTTTCCAATCACTCTTCAGCCACCCTTTCTTGAAGGGTAAGCTTTTCTCCTTGCAATCTTTGTGACCAAGCTCAGGGCTTGTTATCAGAGAAACTGGTTGAAGTCACCTGTCATTATTCTAAGATGCCTATAGAAGTTTAATATTAAAGTAGTATACATCGTGCAGGCAAGGCAGAGCACTTTTATATTTCATACACACCCACATATATGAAATAACCTACTGTTTTTATTTTTCATTAGTAAACCTAAGTGTTCTCCAAACAGTATATTGAGACACACAAGTTGACACTGTAGCAACTTAATTGATCATAAGCAATTTTAAACAAAATAGAATAGAAATTAAAGAAACATGATTGCAGCAGACATAGCAAAGGGAAATATACATATGTATATGTAAGTGTATATCGGGTTGTGATATAAAATACATTTTAATAGTGTATCACACTGAAAAATATTTTAAAATCACTAGTTTAGCCAGTTACTCTGGAACACCGCTACTAATTTTGCATGTCTCTTTTGCTTCTAATATTTTATAGTTCTGATAGGGACCCAGATTCTCCCCGTAGCTCCAAAGTTAGACAACTTGGGATATAAAAGAGTAAGATGCTTAGAGGCAAACATCTCAAGATGCTTTCTTTCTTAAATATTCTAAGGTATATGTGACTCAGAAAAAAACATAATCCACAATTGCCCCTTCCTGCTATTTCCTGTGGTGAAGTACTTTCTGGAAGATTCTTATAAACCTGGGTTAAATATATCCCTCTAAGATAAACTTGAGAGCGCCATGCTTACTTCTGTACAAACTGACTTCATGATAACAAAACACTTGTCCAAATTCCCAAA
Organism: Homo sapiens; assembly: GCF_000001405.40. Taxonomy (NCBI): domain Eukaryota; kingdom Metazoa; phylum Chordata; class Mammalia; order Primates; family Hominidae; genus Homo; species Homo sapiens. The sequence continues at coordinate 161,769,874 of NC_000005.10, read as the reverse complement.
AACTTGTTGTGCCTTTGTGTTTTTTAGCTCACGCTGAGATCCACCAGAGACCACTACTCTAAAGGGGGAGGTGACTATGAACACAACAGTTTCTCACTTAAGAGTGGAAATATTCCTTTGGGTATATACCCAGTAATGAGATGGCTGGGTCAAATGGTATTTCTAGTTCTAGATCCCTGAGGAATTGCCACACTGACTTCCACAATGGTTGAACTAGTTTACAGTCCCACCAACAGTGTAGAAGTGTTCCTATTTCTCCACATCCTCTCCAGCACCTGTTGTTTCCTGACTTTTTAATGATCACCATTCTACCTGATGTGAGATGGTATCATTGTGGTTTTGATTTGCATTTCTCTGATGGCCAGTGCTGATGAGCATTTTTTCATGTGTCTTTTGGCTGCATAAATGTCTTCTTTTGAGAAGTGTCTGTTCATATCCTTTGCCCACTTATTGATGGGGTTGTTTGTTTTGTTCTTGTAAATTTGTTTGAGTTCTTTGTAGATTCTGGATATTAGCCCTTTGTCAGATGAGTAGATTGCAAAAATTTTCTTCCATTCTGCAGGTTGCCTGTTGACTCTGATGGTAGTTTCTTTTGCTGTGCAGAAGCTCTTTACTTGAATTAGATCCCATTTGCCAATTTTGACTTTTGTTGCCATTGCTTTTGGTGTTTTAGACATGAAGTCCTTGCCCATGCCTATGTTGTGAATGGTATTGCCTAGGTTTTCTTCTAGGGTTTTTATGGTTTTAGGTCTAACATTTAAGTCTTTAATACATCTTGAATTAGTTTTTGTATAAGGTGTAAGGAAGGGATCCAGTTTCAGTTTTCTACATATGACTAGCCAGTTTTCCCAGCACCATTTATTAATAGGGAATCCTTTCCCCATTGCTTGTTTTTCTCAGGTTTGTCAAAGATCAGATGGTTGTAGATATGTGGCATTATTTCTGAGGGCTCTGTTCTGTTCCATTGGTCTATATTTCTGTTTTGGTACAAGTACCATGCTGTTTTGGTTACTGTAGCCTTGTAGTATAGTTTGAAGTCAGGTAGTTTGATGCCTCCAGCTTTGTTCTTTTGGCTTAGGATTGACTTGGCAGTGTGGGCTCTTTTTTGGTTCCATATGAGCTTTAAAGTAGTTTTTTCCAATTCTGTGAAGAAAGTCATTGGTAGCTTGATGGGGATGGCATTGAATCTATAAATTACCTTGGGCAGTATGGCCATTTTCATGATATTGATTCTTTCTACACATGAGCATGGACTGTTCTTCCATTTGTTTGTATCCTCCTTTATTTCATTGAGCAGTGGTTTGTAGTTCTCCTTGAAGAGGTCCTTTACATCCCTTGTAAGTTGGATTCCTAGGTATCTTATTCTCTTTGAAGCAATTGTGAATGGGAGTTCACTCATAATTTGGCTCTCTGTTTGCCTGTTATTGGTGTATAAGAATGCCTGTGATTTTTGTACATTGATTTTGTATCCTGAGACTTTGCTGAAGTTGCTTATCAGCTTAAGGAGATTTTGGGCTGAGATGATGGGGTTTTCTAGATATACAATCATTTCATCTGCAAACAGGGACAATTTGACTTCCTCTTTTCCTAATTGAATACCCTTTATTTCCTTCTCCTGCCTAATTGCCCTGGCCAGAACTTCCAACACTATGTTGAATAGGAGTGGTGAGAGAGGGCATCCCTGTCTTGTGCCAGTTTTCAAAGGGAATGCTCCTAGTTTTTGCCCATTCAGTATGATATTGAGTGTGGGTTTATCATAGATAGCTCTTATTATTTTGAGATACGTCCCATACTGCTATAAAGACACATGCACACGTATGTTTTCTGCAGCACTATTCACAATAGCAAAGACTTGGGACCAACCCAAATGTCCAAGAATGATAGATTGGATTAAGAAAATGTGGCACATCTACACCATGGAATACTATGCAGCCATAACAAATGATGAGTTCATGTCCTTTGTAGGGACATGGATGAAGCTGGAAACCATCATTCTCAGCAAACTATCACAAGGACAAAACACCAAACACCGCATGTTCTCACTCAGAGGTGGGAATTGAACAATGAGAACACATGGACACAGGAAGGGGAACATCACACACTGGGGCCTGTTGCGGGGTGGGGGGAGGGGGGAGGGATAGCATTAGGAGATATACCTAATATTAAATGATGAGTTAATGGGTGCAGCACACCAACATGTCACGTGTATACATATGTAACTAACCTGCACGTTGTGCACATGTACCCTAAAACTTAAAGTATAATAAAAAAGAGTGGAAATATTCAATTCATTTGGAAGCAAAAACCCCTAACTATGGTTGTGTTATTCACATGCCCACTGAATTTGCCTTTTCCTTAAATTTAATTTTATGTAGAATCCATGTAAATATATTACATATATTACAAAGTGTGTAATATATGTGTAAATACATTATAAAGTCCTTTGTAATGTAATGACTTAAAGAAATAGCATCCCACCACCCCAAGCAACAAAAGTGTAGCTCTGTTCTTACCCTACCACTCAATATAATTCATGCAGCATCACACTTCAGTGTGTAACAGTTTAACACAACACTCAACACTAGGGTAGAGCTTCTTCAGAAAGTGGCAGGTGAGGGACAAAGGGCAGAACCACGATGCATTTCTTACTAAAAGCTTAAGTACTTGCTTTTTGAATTAAAATAGATTATCATGCTTGTCCATTCATGTCAGGATAGATGATAAATTTTTCTATATAGTGTGGATTTAATGTAAAATGGGCCCATGGAGTCTGAAATCTTTGATATTTGTTATTCATTTCTTTTGCAAAATCTCATGTCCTAGAGAGACACATTCCATTTAGAAATTTGGATTCTGCAGTTAAATTCTCTACTTTTCAGAGTATCACACATCTTATTTTTAGTAAGTGAGGCTAATCTATGTGATTATCTCCTCCCTCCCTTTCTTCATTTTTTCTTCCCTCCTCCCCATTCCCAACCTTGGAATTTCTGCCACTTACCAGTGTGTTAAGATGCCTCTCACACTTGCAGAGCTGTTATGAACTGCGGAAATGAAAGAAATAGCAGGTGTAGACTAGGAAGATGCAGTGTGAAGATTCTGTAGAGAAGATGGGGCTTACAGGAAACTCAGAAATGAGACTGGTAAACTCTAGCCCAGACTTTGCTTTACATAAAAAGTAAGTCAGTATGGGGAAAAGTCCAGTGCAGAAAAATCTCATGAAATACACATTTTCATACCACCAGCTCTCATTTGCTTAAAGGCTAAAATTCATCTCCCTGTAAGTGTATACTATTTCTGAGAGGTCCCGGGTTGATACTTACTTGTCCTCAGGAGCAGGTCATTCACTGTGATATCCTGGTTCTACTCCCAAACTGTTGCTGCTGTTGCAAAGTTCCACATGAAGATCTGCAGCATTTAGTGACCATCCCACTACCCACCTTCATAAACTCAGTGAAAAATCCCCCCTTTTCCACTTTCCTACTTCAACCCAAGCATGGGGGAAGCCCTTTGTTTCCATCCACTACATTGTGGAAGAGTCCAGGCTCTTCTTTCTTATAATAATTAACTTAAAGCTTGAGATAATGTCAAGGAAGCTTAACACATAGATGAAGTTTCAGCTTCTCCCCAGGATCTCTGCCTGGGCTGTTTATCTACATTGCTCCACGCTGTCTCCACATCCCCAGGAGAAGCTCAACCCCCACTCCTGCCATGGGAAATACTCTAGGAATCTCCACGTTTTGGAGCATAATTTGGCTCATATCCATAGAGAGGAGGAAGTTTTATCTCACTACAACATGAAGCTTTCCTCCTGAGTTTTCATTTTTCTGCCACATGACTGACATGTTCTCAAGATATCTGACAATGAAAAAACTTCATTTTTCTAAGAAAAAGCTCAATCCTATACATAGTCATTCACACAATTTTCTGGCATTACTGCTTCCACTGGAATTCTGATTTAATCCAGCTTAAATAAAAGTATCTGTGGGATGTCAAATGTACTATTTAGGTGGACACAAACAGGCTAATGCCAACTCCTTTTCAATGTCACTTTATCAAGCTTGGAAACTGGTGAATCAAGACACCCCGCAGTTTATCCAGCTGGAATCCACTAACATGGAATTTATGGGTTTTTTTAGCATAGCTAGCTTGGTCTTATTCTGTCCTCAAACCATGAGCAGTATTTTTAATTTATTCTTTAAATAAAAATGTATAGAAATATTAGAAATGTGTTGTAAGAGATATGTAGTCTAATAAATATACGTATATTTTCTCAGCCCTTGTTTAAACAACTCATATCCCCTTTACGTAACACTTTAGTCGTTCAGGCAGAATTTTAAGGAATAGCCACTTGACAACATTTTTAAGTGAGGCTGAATTTTACTTACTTAGAAATGTCAAACTTTTAATATTAAATTATTTTAAATTGAAATAATGGCCAGGCAATACGTTTAAAATGAATTAATCCTGGATTCTCATTTTGATTTGTCTCAACCCAGTAAATCAATGAAATAACTCTTATGACTTACAACAAAGTTGTAACATCAGTATAGGAAACAATTTGTAAATAAGAGATTAAAATCATAAACCATAAAATAAAATGTCTGTATGTCAAAACAAATTGAAAATTCAATCCACATACAGGGACTGATATTGGCAAATCATTAAACTGAAAAGAATTTGGAACCAGAATTAAGAATAACTACAAATCAAAAAGATAGTTCAATAGAAAAATAGATAAATTATATGAAACATAAAATTGAACTTAAACGGCAAATGAATATGAAATTATGTCAAACCACATTAGTAATTTAAAAAGTGACAATTTAAAGAAAAATTTTACACATCAGTTTGACAAATTAATGTGCTTGAAACCTTAAATTTGGATAGAATGTTAGGGGGAAATTTTATCTTATACCTTACTAATAAATTTGTCTTGTATATTATTGGTAAATTGATACAACCTCTTTCAAAAGACATTTGGCAATAACAATTTGAAATAAATTTACCCATGATAGAGCAATTTTACTTTAAGGGTGTCTATTGCAGAAAAACACTAAAGAACTTGCAAGGTTAAACAATTACAAAGATGTTCACTTTCACAATGCTTGATATATTGAAAGAGTGGAAATACATTAAGTATAACTCAGTAGGGGACTGAAAAAATCAAAATATGGTTTATTAATGCAATGAAATATTACACAGAAGCTTGAATAAACTATTTCTGCATGAGTACATGTCATAAAATGTTATTTATTCAATACTTTAAAATGCACAAAGTAGTAATGAATATGGTTTGTGGATTCATATATATGTAGAAAAATTACCAAAATAAATGTCTGGAGTTGATAGTCTCCAACTCCAGTAATGTTACATGAAGGTAGTAGGAGGAAAATTATGGGAGCCAAAAATTCTAGCTTGATTTCAAATAAAAATGATTTTACATTCTTTTATATAAGATTGATGTTTTACATCTAATTTTTAGTTTAAATTTAATTTAAAAAACTAAATAGTGAAAGACAAAGGGATGAAACCACTGGAGTATTTAATTGCTTTATAATATCAGAGCCACGAATTATAGATAGGACTGAAAAATCACAGAACCTCCTTCCAAGGGAGAGGCTCTTCCTTGCAGCATGCATGCAAACATGATTTACCTCATAGAGACACAGATCAACTCTTTGGAGGAATAAGCCATAAAGGAAAGCTTTTCTACAATCAGCTGAATACAGTTGCAAGATTGCAATCGTGTTTACTCAGTATTTTGGTCAAGATTACCTATAGACAAGCTTACTTTTATCTTAGCTTTAATACTATTTTACAGTTAATACTGGTCCACAGGCAACAGAAGCACAGGCGAGAAGAGAGAAGATATGATTAACTATCAATTCCGCCCACTCCTCTCAGTTACAATGTTTTAATATCAACATGTTTCTTTAGGTGTGTATTGCTGTGCAACAAACTACCTCAAAGTGTATTGACTTAAAACAACCACAATTTCATTATTCTCATGATTCCTGGGTTGAAGCTTCAGACAGGGCTTATCAGAGACTGCTTAGTGTATTCCACATGTTGACTATGAGGACAAGATAGCTTTTTCATTCACACCTCTGGAACCTCAGCAAGAATCACTCAAACAACCAGGAGCCAGCTGGAGAGACTTCACTGAGGTCATACGTCTGAGGCCTTGGTTCTTCCCATCTACTGGGTTTCCTGGTCCACCTCCATGTGTCCTCAGGGACTCTGCTCTCCCCATGCCTTGCATGTCATCCCCCAGCAGTGTAGCCAGAATTCTTACATAGTAGCTCAGGGCTGCCAAGATTACTAAAGCAGATGCTTTCAGACTGTTTTAGATTTAGACCTTGAACTGAGATGGGGTCACTTGTGCCCCATTTCACTGGCTAAAGTGAGGAACCAGTCCAGTCCAGGTTCAGTGTGAAAGAGGACTATAAAAAAGGATACATTTCAGAACATATCATCAAGATCTTTCTGTGAAACTCAGCTACCGCCTATGTGATATAAAGAATATGGTGACAGTAACTTTGCTTTTCTCTTATTTTTCATTTCTAGTTCTCATTTTTCCATATAGTGAAATTGAAATTTTAGTTAATTAAGGGATAAATCTCCAAGTTTTTACCGGGTTTGGACTTAAGATTTTCCTGGCTCACTTAATGACCAGAGAGTGGGGGGGTCATCATCTTTCCATGACTGCCTCTGTTGCAGTCTGTGTCAGCCCAACCATTCCTCTATGAGCATCAACGCCAGAGAGTGTGTCATGACTTGCTTCTAAATCAAGGTCTCGGCTATATCCCTAATCCTTTGTAGACCTGTGGAAACATTTTTCTGTATACAGTAGGCTGGGGGAAACTGCACCAGCACTCACCTGGATTACATGGGGCTTTTGCCCCTATGTTCCCAATCTACCCTGGGATTCTAACATTCTTGTTGCTATGACCAGACTCTGAAATTGATAAAAACAGAAGTTGAAACCTCTTTCAGGGGACTCTCAAGATAGACCCATAATCTAGTCTAGTTCTTTGAACCTCCCATACCATAATCAACAATCAACATATTTTTTATCTGTCCTAAAAAAGGGTGATGCAGGAAGTTCTGTTTCTGACTCCATGCATTATCTATGCCTCAGCTTCTATCACTTTTCGATTAAACTTTTGCCCTAAGGAAAACCCCTATTGGAGATTTATTCATCTACAAGGAAAAAGTCCTGAATGTCTCAGAAGAACTTAGATATATCTTATAGGGAACAGATCTGGAATAAACAAGATGCACTGCAGGTTTTACCCGTCTGTATGGATAGAACGTGTGCTGTCCAACATGGGAGCCACTAAATACAAGCAGTTACTGAGCATTTAAAATGTGTCCTGTGCGAATTAGAAAGTGTTCTAACTATAAAATTCACACCATATCTCAAAGAACTAATATGACAAACATATAACCTAACTCATTACTAATTTTTCATATTGATTACTTGTTGAAATAATATTTTAGACTTACTGGGTTAAATAAAGTGTATGATTAGAATAAATTTCATCTGTTTCTTTTTACTTTTCTAATTTGGACAGTACAGTATTTAAAATTGCATAGGCAGCTCATAGTTGTGGCTTGCATCATATTTCTATCAAACAGTATTGGAACATAAAACAAAGGATATGATAAACCACAGCACATTGCAGCAGAAGGCAACTTGGATAGAAGAGCCAGAAGCTCACCTCCCAATCCTTTCCTCCCAGCATTGTACTACCCCAGACACTCATAATTCAGATATAACTTCATTAAATATAGGGAGAGACTGATTTCATTGAGATTTGGGTTTTTTACCCAGTAAAGTGTATAATTGAAGGGGAAATCAAATTCAGTAGTAGAAAATGTTTGAACTTTTCCTACTTGCACACCCTAATTTGTGGCCTAAGTTTTATGTCTAAGTAAGAGAGTGTGTGTGTGTGTGTGTGTGTGTGTGTGTTAGTGTATATGAAAGAGAGAGAAAGAGTTCCACAACAGGAATCGAGATATTAAGGTCAAAGTAGTCTGGACACATATGCTCCATCTCAAGCTCCATGAGCAAATATGAAATCTTGACAAATTATTGGAAATTAGAAAAAAGATAGGATTATGGATTTTGTAAACAGAAACTGAAACTAGACACAGGAAAATGGAACCTCAGATACAAAAGGAACCTCAGATACAAAAGTGATAACTACCAGCAGAAATAAAAACACATTTTCAGGTAGAAAAAATAAAACCAAGAAAAAGAGTCATGTAATTAACAAATAGAAGAATGAAGATTTGAGAAAAACATTACTAAAACAAAACAACAGAAAATTTAACATGCCATATAACCTCAGAGAAATAACAGTGGATACTACAGCAATAAAATAAAAATAGATTATTGTTTCATTATTTCATTTATTGCTTATTTGTTTACAATTTGCTATTTTAAAATGCTAAATAGAAATACTAAACTTAAAATATTTTGGTTAAAATAAAACACAATAGATTGACTACAGCTCATTGATTACAGAAAGAAGTAGTGACCTTAAAGATTGAATTCAGGGAATCTTTCAGGAAAACAAAATGACTAAACAAACAAACAAAAAGCTAAGAGAAAAATTAAGAATAATAAAGTCCAAAAATTTCAACACACTTGGTGTTACAGGAGAGTCTGTACAGCAATAAAGAGAAGGATACAAGTTTCTGGCTGCCTGCCACAGTCCAATTCTAGAGCTATTACAGCAGTTTAAAAAAAAAAAACGTGCAGGGGAGCATCTGAAAAACTTACATAAAGACTCTGAAACCACTTTAGAAAAAGAAGAAAGTTGTACTTTGCTGTGGGAAAAGAAAGTCAGCCGGGGCACAGGGTGATTGGAGAATTGACTGTAATCCAATCTTTTCTTTTAGTTTTTTTTTTTTAATGGAAGTTTGAAAGATACACAAAACTAGAAAATAGTTTATATACCACTTTATATTGCAAATATTTTCAATCTTGTTTAATTAACCTTCCGCATACACTTTTATAATTTTGGGGAATGTATTTCAAACCAAGTCACTTTCATTTCACCCTAGTACTGCAATATGCTTCTTGACTACATAACCCACTGCTTCTTTTTTATTTCATAACCATACTGCCATTGCCACATCTAATAAAATGACACTAGTTCTTTTGGGGTCATCCAATAACTAGTCTATATTCAGATTACTTAATTGTCACAAAATCCTTTGAGAAGCTTTTTGCTTTTTGATTTTTAAGTCAGGATGCTAAGAATTCTTATATTGCATTTGAGTGACATATTTCTTGACATTTTTTTAAATTAACTTTTTTGTTTTGAGATAACCATAGATTCACAGGCAGTTATAAGAAATTATACAGAGTGATCCTATGTGCTCCTTACCAAATTTGCTCCTTACCAAATTTCCCCCAATGGGAACATGTGGCATCACTACTGTACAATATCACAACCAGAATACTAACATTGATGAAATGAAGACATAGAATATCTCCATCACCACAAGGATCATTCATGTAGCCCTTTTGAGGGCACACTCCCTTCCCTTCTCCAACCCCTCCTTAACACCTGGAAAATAATAATCTGCTCTATTTTTTGTAATCTTATCATTTCTTGAATGTCATCTAAATTAAACCACAGTGTATATAGCCTTTTGAGATTGGCTGTTTTTCACTCAGCATAATTTTCTGCAGATTATTCAGGTTGTTAAATTCATCAATAGTTTTTTTTTCCTTCTTATTGCCAAGTAGTAACGCAAGATTTGTAGGATCACAGCTTGTTTAAATATTTACCAGTTGAAGAACAATGAGGTTGCTTCAAACTTGTAGCCTGTATAACTAAATCAGCTACAAACATTCATGTGCAGGTTTCCGTGCATAAGTTTCAATTTCTCTGGATAAATGCCACAGGAATGCAACTGCTGGGCTGTATGCTCATTATTGTTTTTAATGGAACCACCAAACTGTTTTCTAGAGAGTCCGTACTATTTTACATTCCTAACAATAATGTGTGACTGGTTCAGATGCTCTGCATCCTCACTGATGTCTGATGTTGTCACTATTTGTGAATATTAATTTTTAACCATTCTGACAGATGTGTAGTGATAGTTCACTGTGGTTTTAATCTAATTTTTCTTAATGGCTAATGATGTTGAACATCTTTTCACGTGTTTACATGCCATCTATCTATCCTCTTTGGTGAAATGTCTGTTCAGGTCTTTTGCCTATTTTCCAATTAGATTGGTTGAGTTTTCTCTTGTATATTTCTTAGAGTTTTTTATATAGTTTAGACGGTATTCTTTTTCTCTGATATGTGGTTTGCAAATATTTTCTGCCAGTCTTTAGCTTGTCCATTCATCTTATTAACAGAGTCTATTACACAAAAATATTTTTAGTTTTGAGGAAGTCCAATTTATATACTCTTTTTTCCCCGTGGATTGATTGGTTTCAAGTTTAAGAACTATTTACTTAGCCCTAGGTTTGAAGATTTTCTCCTATTGTTTAAGTCCTGCAATTGCACATTTTACATTTCAATCTGTGCTCTACTTTGAACTAATTTCTGTATAACACATGAGTTGTAGATAAAGTTTCAGTTGTTCCATATTGATGTCCAATTGCTCCAGCACCGTTTATTGAAAACGCTATACTTTCTTCACTGAATTGTTTTAACATCTTTTCAAAAATCATTTGGCTATATCTGTGGGTCTATTTCTGGGTTTCCTAGTCTGTTCCATTGATGTATGTGTCTATCTCTCCAGCAATTTCATACAGTCATGATTACTACACTTGTATATATATTTGGTCTTGAAAAGGTAGACTATATCCACTTTATTTTCTTGTTTTCAAGATTGCTTTAGCTATTCTAGTTTATTTGCTTTTTATATAAATTTTACAATAAGCTTGTCTATGTTTATTAAATTATTGCTAAGATTTTATATGATTTTGTGTTAAATCTCTGTGTCAGTTCGGAGAGAACTAATTCTTCATGTTGAGCCTTCAAATCCTCGAAAACTCTGTGTCCCTCTATTTATTTAGATATTTTATTTCTTTCATCAGAGTTGTGTACTTTTCAGCATAAGTCCTGAAGATTTTTAGTAGATTTAGTGCTAAGTACTTACATTTTGAGAAATTAAGAATAATACTACATTTTAATATCTGTATTAATGCTAAATGCTGTTGTATTTTTTAAAAGAAATCGCATTTTGCATGTTAATCTTGTGTTCTGTGACTGCTTAACTCATGAATGCTCAGTTTTTTTTTGTAGATTCTTTGAGACTTTTTACATAGACTATCATATCATCTGGAAATACGCATGGTTTTACATCTTCCTTTCCCAACCATATGTCTTTTGTTTCCTTTCCTTGCCTTGTTGCACTGAATAGAAGTTTCATCACCATGTTAAATAAGAGTGGTGAGATGTATATCCTTTTTGTCTCCAATCTGAGGGGAAAGCTTTATTTCCCCTCTTCTCTTTGTTCCCCTCTTGTCCTTTGTTCTCTTCTGGAATTGCTGACTTCAGAGCTGGAGCCTGACCAGTCATCTTAACACCAAGTGGAAAAGTCCGAAAAAAACCACACAGAACTTGACATTGACATTACAGAATTACTGAATTAATGTCAGGGTTTGATATCTTTCAGACCTCCTATTACCTGGGAAAAATACTTTACTATATATAGATTTGCATTATTTATGTAGATTTCCCTTATCCACAGTAAATACAAAGTCTAACTGAACATGGATACTATCCTACTATATATTGAGATATAACTTCAAAACCATTTTCATTAAAATAATTATGGTCCTGGGATAGAAACAGGTTAAATACACCAAAGGACAATGGGAAGGCAAATACACCTATTAATACATTAAAAACCTGATAGACAGTAAGGAGACCATCAAAAAAAAAAAAAAAAGAAAAGAAAAGAAAAGTTCTGGAGCATGATAGCACATATTCTCTATTCCCTGATCTTCCCTTCTAATACTGAATAACCTGAAAATAATTCTCTATTTTTAGGGTATTTAGTTGTTAGGGTATTCTAACAACTGAATACCCTGAAAATAATTCTATAGTTATTCATAAAAGGACTCTAAAATATGGAAAGCAGCTAGGCTGTTCATGGCCTATGAACCAAGGGCTTAAAGAATGACACCACAGTGAATTCCTAGTTTTTTTGTTTTGTTTTGCTTTTTTTTTTTTAATTCCCATGTTTCTCATCCTAGGCACAAGAAAGACCTGCAATTCAGAACTCCAACAGACATAAAAATAACAAAAAAGGAAATGTCCCTCTCTCTGTCTAAAGCATCAGCAAAGGGGAAGCCTAGAAGGTGCTTAATGAGGACACTTATACTCAGTAACTGTGGTGGGCTTGATCTGCCTGCAAGAACAGCACTAGTAGAACCCAGATGACCTGATCCATCCCATGCTGGACACATGCCAGTAGCCGCAGGCCTGATCTGCCTATAGCCATGTTACCAGCAGAGTTCAGGGACCAGCACCTACCTCACCCATACCTGCTGACAACAGTGGGGCTGATCCTTGCTGAGTTGGAGTGGCAATGGTGGAACCTCGACTGGTTGATTCATCCTCTGCCCCACACCAGGTGATAGTTCTGGTGCCTCATAGTTCTCAAACCAGAAGAGAAAAGGAAGGAGCACATATTTATCAGGCACTAGAAACAAAGACTTGTTATCAATAAATTCTATACTCCATGAAATTGTTCTTCAGGAATAAAGAGGAAAGCAAGACATCCTTAGTTTAAAAAAAATCCAACAAAGTATAAAATAAGTTGTATATAACTTCAAAAATGGGCAAAAGACATAAACATATCAAATAGGATATGTCATTGGCAGATAAGCAGGTGACATACATTTATCTTAATTAGCCATTAGAACATGCAAACTAAAATTACAATGATATATCACCACAGACCTATTAAGAAACAGGGAAAACACCAAATTCTGACAAGGACGCAAAGAAACTGGATCATGATAACCCAAAAATCCCCATGGGTAGGTAAAAGTGTACAGCCACTCTGGAAAACTGTATCTGTTTCTTATAAAACTAAACATGCATTTAACAAAAACCCAGCAATTGTACTTGTCAATATTTAGCCCAGAAATAATGAAAACATACACACACACACACACACACACACACACACACAAACACACACAATGTACATAAATTTTCCTGGAAGATTTATTTGTAATACTTCCAAACAGGAGTCAGTAGTGATGTTCTTCAGTGGGTAAGTGGTTAATTAAATCGTGCTACACACATACCATGGAATTTTCTTAAGTGATACCAAATACATATATAAAAGAATGAAATACTGATATGTGCCACAACCTGTGTAAATGCAAACAGAATTACAATGAGTGAAAATGGTCAGTCCCAGACTGCATACTGTACAATTTCATTTCACACTGTTTGGAAAACCTACAAATTCTAGAAATTAAGAACAGATTTATGGTTTTCAGGACTTAGGGGACAAAGTTAGTAAGCAGGGAGGTTGATGTGGATATAAAAGTACAACATAAATGTTCTTGTGGTGCTGGAACTGTTCAGTCAGTATCTTGATGTTGGTAGTAGATACACAAACTTACACAGTTAATAATATTGTACTGTAATCTCCCCTTAACTATGAGGGGTATTGTCTAAGATTTCTAGTGGATGCTTGAAACCCCAGATAGTATAAAACCCTGTATATATATATTTTTTCCTATGCATACATACCTATGATAAAATTAAATTTTTAAATTAGGTAGAGTAAGGGATTAACAATAAGAGCTGATAACAAAATCAAATCGTTATAACAACATGTCAGCATCACCACCTTTGCACTCTGGGACAATTTAAAAAATTATTTTATTTTTATAAATTTATGGCATACAAATATAATTTTGTTATGTGGATATATCGCAAAGTGGTGAAATGAGGGCTTTCAGCATATCCATCTCTGAGGTTATGTACATTTTACCCATTAAGTAATTTCTCATCTTCTACCCCATCTCATCCTCCCACTCTTTTCAGTTTCCATTGTCTATCATTCCACACTCTACATCCATGTATACACATTATTTAGCTTCCACTTTTACATGAGAACATGCAATATTTTTCTTTCTGTTTCTTTTGAGTTATCACTTAGTAAAATAAGGATGTCTTGAACACAGGTACTGCAGTGCCTTGACATTCAATCTGATAATCAAGATGGCTACTAAGTAAGCAATGGGCCTGTAGCATATATATGGTGTGGATATGCTGGACAGAGATGGAGCAGGAGGGAGCAAGATCTCCTTGAGCTACTTAGTACAGCATACTATTAAAAGTTCTGAAATCGATCACACAGACATAAAACAATTCTCAGAAAATTCTGAAAAACTTGAATCATACCAAACACACTCTCAGACTACAGCTCAATTAAAAATAGAAATCAACACTAAGAAACTTGCTCAAAACTATATAATTACAAGGAAATTAAACCCCCTGCTCCTGAATAACTTGAGTAAATAATGAAATTAAAGCAGAAATCAAGAAATTCTTTGAAACTAATGGAACACAGATAAAACATACTGGAATCTCTGGGACACAGTTAAAGCAGTGTTAAGAGGAAAGTTTGTAGTGCTAAATGCCCACATCACAAAGTTGGAAAGTTCTCAGATTAGCAACCTAACATCACACCTAGAGGAACTAGAGAAACAAGAGCAAACCAACTGCAAAGCTAGCAGAAAACAAGAAATAATCAAAATAAGAGCTAAACTGAAAGGAAATTTAAACACAAAACACCATAAAAAAGATCAATTATCCAAAAATTTTTTATTTGAAAGAATAAATAGGATTTCTAGGCAATTAGCTAGACTAATAAAGAATAAAAGAGAGAATACTCAAATAGACACAATCAGAAATGACAAAAGTGACATTATCACCAACCCCACAGAAATACAAAAAACCCTCAGAGACTACTATGAACATGCCTATGCACACAAACTAGAAAACCTAAAAGAAATGGATAAATTCCCAGAAACATACAACCTCCCAAGATTGAACCAGGAAGAAATTGAATGCCTGAACAGAATGATAAGTTGAACTGGTAATTCAAAACTGAGTTGAAATTGAATTGGTAATGAAAAGCCTACCAACCAGAGAAAGCCCAGGAGCAGATGATTTCACAAGTGAAATCTACCAGAAATATAAAGAAGAGCTGGTTATCATTCCTACTGATAGTATTCCAAAAACTTGAAGAGGAGGGACTCCTACCTAACTCTTTCCATGAGGAAAACTTGGCAGAAACACAACAAAAAAAGAAAACTTCAGGATGAAGTTGATAAATGTAGACACAAAAATTATTCAACAAAATACTAGCAAATCAAATCCAGCCCCACGACAAAAAGCTAATCTACCATGATCAAGTAGGCTTGATACTATGCTCACTACCTTGGTGACAAAGTCAGGTGTACCCCAAACCCCCAGTGATAAGCAATTTATCAATATATCAAACATGCACATGTATCCCTGAACCTAAAATAAAGTTTAAAAAACTTATGAAATTGTTTATTTCTGGAATTTTCCATTTAATGTTTTCAAATCAAGGTTGGCCACAGGTAACTGAAACCACAGAAAGCAAAACTATGGACAAGGGATAAGGGGAGACTACTGCATAGAGTTTACTACACACACATACACACAGACACACACACATACATGAAGACACACAAACACAAATGAGTAGAAGTAAAACTGGACATATCTGAATAAAATAACTGGCTTATATCATCATCATATCCTGTCTGTGATGTCTTGCAAAAATGTTTTGCAAAATGTTATCATTGAGAGATTCTTAGCCCTCTTTTCTTAAAACTGCATGTGTATTTACAAATATCTCAAAATAATAATTTAAAATAAAGCAATAACTTCAAATTTCAGCTCTGACATGCAAATGACTTGAAAGTTGTATTTCCCATCATTACAATAAGATAGAGCTGAACAAATTGAAAATCAATATTTTTTCTTTGACCCATTAAAGGACAAAGACTGCATGACAAACCACCATCCCAAAATCTGGGGAGAAAGGATCATTTAGTGATATGCAGCTGAGATCTGCTTACCTGAGGCAATAGCTGCTAGAAACATAAACTGATAGGAACATGTAAATGACAATTTTGACAAACGATGGAGGTTAAATATGGACTAGCATGTGAGTAAGAAGCCCCTGAAGCTGCAGTCTGAGGGAAGGGTCCCACATTTTTGTGGGCTTTACATACAGGAACACCACAGGATTCCCAGATTGAAGATTGTAGAAATATCTAGTCGTGGTTTTAATAACAGGAAAGGAAGCATAATCACTGTGAAATAAGCCCTGAAACCCCTCCATAGAAAAGGTGTATCCTCCAGAAGAAAAGACTTTTAAGGGCATGCCTCGCTCTCCAGCCCCCTTTATCCTTCCTGTGTCTTCTAAGGAAGGAAAAAAAAAACCAAACTGGGGCCAGGATTTCAAAAAACACATTGGCATTGCTGCAGCTGGGGCAGAGAAAAGGGCCCTGGAGAGAAAGTATAGTCATATCACCAGAAACACATCTGTGCATGTTATACTCCACCAACATACTACACTACATTACAATAGTGAGATTTAATCAGAAGATTATAGAATACTTTCCCTCCCCCAAACCTTCATATCACACCAACAGGGCTCCAGTATAATCATGAATTTGAGCTGGAAGAGCTCATATTCTCTCTAAGAAGTGCTTAGAAAAGCCCAAAGTCAAGAGGAAAACAAAGCTAGGACAGAAGCAGAATGTGAAATTCTGACACCTATGGCTATAGCACACATTAAGCACAGCGTAACTCCTAACTTGATGACCGTAAACCAGCACACAAGAGGCCTATGTAACTCAGTTTCAATGACCTGATACAATATACCTGGTTTTAAACAACAACAAAAATTATAAGGCCTGCCAAAAGACAAGAAAAACATGGTATGAAGGGACAATTAAATCATCAGAAAAAGATGCAGATATGATACAGGCATTGGAGTTATCAGACAAGACTTTAAAATAACTGTCATGAGCATATGAAAATCTTTATTCTTTAACAGAAAGAGTAGACAACATGCAGGCATAGATGTGTAAGAGGAACAGCAAGATGGAAACTCTAAAAATCAAAAGGAAATGTAACAGAAATGAGAAATGCCTGTGATGGAATCATTGGTACACTCAAAAAGCAGAAGAAAGAATCAGTGAACCTGACAATAGGTCAATAAAAACTTCCCAAACTAAATGCATAGAGAATATGAATGAATAAAACATGACAGAACACCTAAGAACTGTGAGACAACTTCAAAAGTAAAACATACAAGTAATTGGAATACCAGAAGAAAAGGAAAGAGAGAATACAACTAAAGAAGGTAATGTAATAATGACTGAAAGTGTCCTCAAATTAATGGCAGACCGAACAAGGAATTCAGGAATTTCGGAGAATACCAAGCAGAAAAACGCATGCATGTGCGCGCGCGCACGCACGCACGCATACACACACACACACACACACACACACACACACACACACACACACACCCTAAGCATGTCATATTCAAACTGCAGAAAACCAAAGACAGAGTCTTGAAAGTATCTAGAGGAAAGGAACACCTTACAAATGGAAGAACAAGGACAAACATTACAAAAGACTACTCGTCAGAAACGGTGTAAATGTTAATAAAGTGGAGTGATATGCTTAAAAGTATTGAGAGAAAATCCCCACCGACCTAGAATTCTATATTCAGTGAAAGTATTTTTCATACATGGAGGAGAAATAAAGACTTTCTGAGACTAATAGAAAGTGGGGGGAATTCACAGCCCTCAGATCTACCCTACAAGAAAAATAAAGGAGTTTTTCAGGAAATGAAAATCAATATATGTCAGAAACGGGGATCTACATAAAGAAAAAAAAAGCATCTGAGAATGAATAAATGAAGGTGAAATCTTTTATTTTTAAAAATTCATTTGAAAGATAA
Organism: Homo sapiens; assembly: GCF_000001405.40. Taxonomy (NCBI): domain Eukaryota; kingdom Metazoa; phylum Chordata; class Mammalia; order Primates; family Hominidae; genus Homo; species Homo sapiens. The sequence goes on along the minus strand of NC_000005.10, from coordinate 161,751,853 downwards.
CTATTTAAAGTAATTATCGTGGCTCAATACCCCAAGCAGTACCTGCAACTGAGGATTCTTCCCGGGGAGATCGCAGCCCATCTGCATGGCTCAAGAGTTCGTGAACTGCAAAATCCAGCCTGGGAAGCTGGTTGTGTTCATCAAGCCCACCTGTCCATACTGCAGGAGGGCCCAAGAGATCCTCAGTCAATTGTCCACCAAACAAAGGCTTCTGGAATTTGTCGATATCACAGCCTCCAACCACACTAACAAGATTCAAGATTACTTGCAACAGCTCACAGGAGCGAGAATGGTGCCTCGAGTCTTTATCGGTAAAGATTGTATAGGCGGATGCAGTGATCTAGTCTCTATGCAACAGATTGGGGAACTGCTGACGCGGCTAAAGCAGATTGGAGCTCTGCAGTAACCACGGAGCAGGCCCCATGCTGACGTCCCTCCTCAAGAGCTGGATGGCATTACATATGATGACAGCACTTCCTGGTGGATGAATTTGGGGACACATACAGCTTTTTTCCTCTTTTGGCTCCGTATTTAAAAGTGGACCAACTTGATCTTAACCACAGGGCCAAGAAGGTTGATGGGCCATCTTGATTTTCTTCTGGATGTGGTCTTTGGTTTTCAGAAGACTGTGACAAGTTCTGGCCCAGGATTCGCTCACTGATCCTCACTTGTTCTCTTTGGCACGCGTTTCTTACTGTTCTCCATGTGTCGGCATGTCTCTACCTCTAAGCCAGCGTTTTTCAACTATGGTTATCCTGACTTCTTCTCCACAATGATGAATCCATAGTTGGTTATCTGCTACTGCCCGTTAGCTGAAATCATTTTGTTGCTTGACTTTCTGGAGTTTGTATTATGAAATCAGTGGGTATTCTGAATGTGTTCTTTCAAACTACATGCATCTCTCCACTCAACTCCACGCCATCGCATCCCATCCCACCTTGAAAATCACTGCTCTGAACCAGTGTTCTCCACCTTGTCCTCCACAGATCTCGTAGGAAATGTTCAAAAATTCTGTGAAAGGTCGCAGGACCCAATTGGAGAAATCATATGAAAAGCATGGTTGGTCTTGGTGTCACACGGATCAGAGGCACAAGCGCAGAGGCTGTGGTCATGCGGAACACTCTGCTATTTAAGATGGCTATCCAGATAATCCTGAACACGATGTATTTATTTGATTTAGACTACCAGCAAAGATTAAAGCATGAAATGTAAAACATCTGAGAAAACTTACAGCCCACTATACCAACTGTGTATCTGTGAAGGAGCCCCCACACTTTGAAAACTTAAGAATCCCTTATCATGAAGTTTGCCTGTTCTAGAATTGTAAGATTGTTAATTTCCTTTTGCAGTCTCTAGTGACGACACTTAATTTCTTTTCTAATAAAAACCTATAGATGAAAAAAATAAAATGAAGTAATTATTGTAAAATTGTATTGGGTGAATATAGCCAACAACATTGTCACAAGGATAGGAGGGAGAAAATGGGAATTCTCTGATATTGGGTATTTGCTCTGCCCATGAAGTGGTACAGTATTATTTGAAGACTGAGATTAGTAGAAAATATATATCATAAATGATCAGGGCAGCCACTCAAAAAGTAAAATAATAATAATAATAATAACAGATAGGTTAACAGATGAGGCAAAATTGAATCCTATAAAGTGCTCAATTTAGGCTAGGGAAAGAAAATAAATGGGGTTGGGAGACAAAAACAAAAGCACAATTGAAGTTATACATATGTTGATATTAATGTAACTATTTCAATAATCAGTTTACATAACAATGATCTAATTATATAAATTAAAATAAATCATCAGAATGGATTAAAAAACACCCCAGAACCCAATTATATGTTGTCTACAGGAAGCCCACTTTAAATATAAAGATACAGATTGATTAAAAGCAAAGGAATAGGGAAAGTTATACCATTCAGCAACAGAAGAAAGTTATAGTAATTAGCAAACACTAATTTTTTTTAAAGTGTAGTAGTTGTATTTATTTCAGACACAGCAGACTTCAGAACAACAAAAATAGATCTAGCATGAAGAGGGGCATAAAATAATTATAAAGGATTGAATCTCCAAGATAATATAATGTAACCTAACAATAGAAAATCAAACTACATGAGGAAAAACTGCTAAAACTGAAAATAGACAAATTTACTATTACATTTGGAAACGTCAATGCTCATCTGCCAGTAACTGACAGATTATGTAGGCAGAAAGTCAGTAAGGATATAGACAAAATGAACAGAACTATCAGTCAATTTGTTCTAACTGATGTTTTTAGAATACTCCAACAGAAGCAGAATAGAGTTTCTTTTAAACTCAAAACAAAATTGAATAAGACGAACTATATTTTGTACAATAAAGCCATAGGTTAACGTTGTATTAGGGAAAGTATATTACAAAGTATATTCTAATACCATAACGGAATTAAACTAGAAATCAAGGAATAGGAAACTAGGAATAGAGCTGGAAAATTCCCAAATATTTGGATATTAATTTGTATACTTCTGAACTTCACATAGATAAAAGAAGTCTCAAGATGAATGAAAAAAATATTTTGAACTAAATAAGAATGAAAATGTAACCTACTAAACTTTTTGGATGGCACAAAAGCAGTGGTGAGAGGGAATTTTACAGCATTGAATATGTACTTTAGAAAAGAAGAAGTATTTAAAAATTAAGATTCTAAACTTTCACTTTAAGAAGCTAGAGGAATGACAGAAATATAAACCAAAAGTAAGTAGAAGTCAAGAAAACATAACACAACAAAAATCAATGAAATTGAAAACAGGAAAGCTATAGAAAAAATTAATGAAACCAAAAAAGTCATTAAATTAATAAACATGTAGCCAGGCTAAACAAGAAAATAAAAAATCAGACAAATGAAAAAAGAATAATCATTACTGATCAGGTTTTTAAATTTGTGGGAATACAGTTGTTCAGAATATTAAGAGGAAAATAATAAGATATTCTGAACAACTGTATGCCCATAAATTTAAAAACATGATGAATTAAATAGATAAATTTCTTAAAAGGCACAAAATGCCAAAACTCACAAGAGATAATTATATGACATGCAAAACCCCATATCTACTACATACATTGAATCAACTAAAATAACCTCTGAAAAGAAAACAGAGCCAAATTATTACACTGTTGAATTCTAGCAAATTTAAAATTCTTAAAATGGCCTCAATGATTCCCAGCTTTTTTATGCCAGCTTCCCAATGTGAGGCAAGGTGCTCACATTGTCTTTTATCAGTTCATTGTCTTTTCTCAAGGACACAACAAACTTGTATCCTTTTGAGGGTCCTTTTAGATAATGGTTCCATTTCCTTACATTTATTCCCCTCTTCTATCTTTCCTACTCCTACTTCAAAGCTTAAGTTTTATTTTCTTAGACAGAACTTTCCTCACAGTACTTCTAAGTTTGTTTTGTCTGTTATATTTATTACCATGTATGACTTTATATTTGTATGATGTATATATGTATACTACTGTATATATATTTGTATATGTTATACATATATATTTATATTCACATATGCATATATGTATTTGTATATATATACAAATACAAATATATATTTGCATACATATATACATATGTGTGTTTGTGTATGTATAGATAGATAGAGGAACAGAACCAACCCAAATGCCCATCAATGATAGACTGGATAAAGAAAATGTGGTACATATATGCCATGGAATACTATGCAGCCATAAAAAGGGAATTAGATCATGTCCTTTGCAGAGACATGGATGAAGCTGGAAGCCAACATCCTCAGCAAGCTAAGACAGGAACAGAAAACCAAACACCACGTGTTCTCACTCATAAGTGGGAGTTGAACATTGAGAACACATGGACACAGTGAGGGGATCAACACACACCAGGGCCTGTTGGAGGATGGGGGATGAAGGGAGGGAACTTAGAGAATGGATCAATAGGTGCAGCAAACCACCATGGCACATGTATACCTATATAGCAAACCTGCACGTTCTACACATGTATCCCCCCCCCGCTTTTTTTTTAGAAGAAATACAGAAAAAAAATGAAATAATACCAATTTTCCATAATCTCTTCCAGGAATTAGAAGCAGAAAAAAAGCTTCTTAACCCATTTGATGAGGTCATAGATTAAAAACATTACAATACTGAAACCAGATAATGACATTACAAGAAAGAAAAAGCACAGATCAATATCTGTCATGAACTTTTGATGCAAACACCCTCAACAAAAAATTAGCAAATCAAATCTAACAATGTATTATAAGAGTATAAACCATGGACAAGTGGAAAGTAATTCAGGTATGCAAGATGGGTTTACATTAAAAAATTAATGAAGGTAATCTACCAAATCAACAGGCTAAATATTCAAAATCATACATTACAATCAATTAACAATGAAAAAATGGGAAACACTCAGCACCCATTCAAATAACAACCCTCAATAAAGTGGAATGGAGGAGAACTTCCCTAACTTGATAAAGAACACTTATGAAAAACGTACAGTTAACATCATACTTACTCATTACAGACTGGATGGTTTTTACATAAAATGGGAAACTAGGTGAGAATGTCCTCTTTCAGCAATACTATTTGATATTGTACTAGAAACTCTAGATAGCACAAGAAAACAAGAAAAAAAGAAATGAAAGGTATACAAATTGGAAAGAAGAAATAAAACTGTTTTTGATAAGGAAATTACAGTATTGTTTATGTAGAAAATTTAAACACCCTTCCCTTTCCCAAAAAAGAAAGAGAAAGCTTCTTTAGTTAACATATAAGTAAAGCACAGTCTCAGGAAACAAGGTCCATATATAAAAAGTCAATTGCTGGCTGGGCACAGTGGCTCACGCCTGTAATCCCAGCACTTTGGGAGGCCAAGACGGGTGGATCATGAGGTCAGAAGATCGAGACCATCCTGGCTAACACGGTGAAACCCCGTCTCTACTAAAAATACAAAAAATTAGCCGGGCGTGGTGGTGGGCGCCTGTAATCCCAGCTACTCAGGAGGCTGAGGCAGGAGAATGGCGTGATCCCAGGAGGCGGAGCTTGCAGTGAGCCGAGATTGCGCCACTGCACTCCAGCCTGGGAAACAGAGCGAGACTCTGTCTCAAAAAAAAAAAAAAAAAAAAGAAAAAAGTCAATTGCTTTCTTATATATCAACTATAAACATTTGAAAATTGAATGTTAAAAGAAAACAATGCATTTGTAATATCCTTGAAAAATAATACTTACATATCAATATAACAAAATGTATCTTTCTTTTCCTCATACATTTATTCACTTCTCTATCCATTCATCTATCCATTAAAAATATGTATGAGCACATTCACAATGTTATAGGCACTCTATAAATAAAAATTAATGAAAAGTATGCTGTTCATAAATTTATAGGAAGACAGGTTTTAAAATATCATACAATAGCTGCGCATGGTGGCATGCACCTGCAATCCCAGCTACTCAAGAAGCTGAGGTGGGAGGATCGCTTGAGCCCTTGAGGTCGAGGTTGCAGTGAGCTGTCATTGTGCCACTGCACTCCAGCCTGGGTGATATAGGAAGCCCATGTCTCTCTGTCTCTCTCTATCTCTCTCTCTCTCTCTATCTATATACTTATATATATATATGTATATATGCTTATACACACACATATATACACACACACATACACATACAGATGTATATATGTATGCAAATACAGATATTTGTATATGCATATATACAAATATATACATATGCAAATACAAATATACAAATACATATATACAAAACAAATATATATAGTTGTATCTATACATCATACAAATATAAAGTCATACATGGTAATAAATATAACAGAGAAAACAAACTTAGAATTACTACGAGGAAAGTTCTGTCTAAAAAAGTAACATTTAAGCTTTGAAGTAGGAGTAGTCAACAAAGAAGAGGGGAATAAGTGTAAGGAAATGGAACCATTATCTAAAAGGACCCTCAGAAGGATACAAGTTTGTTGTGCCCAGTGAACTGATAAAAGACAATGTGAGCACCTTGCCTCACATTGGGAAGCTGGCATAATAAAAGCTGGGAATCATTGAGGCCATGCTAAGAATTTAATTTTTTTGACCTTAGTAAAGTACATTACCTGTGTGACTGGTTTTTATTACAATACTAAAACTAAATTCAAGTGCCTCAAGTCAAAGTAAGAATTAACTATGATGCCAACAAGGTGTGTCAAAGAAACCAAAGGCAAGATTATAATAGCCTCAGGAAGAAACCAAAATATGATACTGACATCTGAGAGGACTCTCCTACCATGAGTCATCTCCACGTTTTTGCCCTGTTTTTTTCTAACTAACCCTTTCTTTCAGCTTCTCGGGCCACATGGCTGAACTTTCCTTGTAAATATAGATAAATGGGGGAGATCCGGAACAGCCAAGTTCCCAAGCTCACTTTGATATCTATTTATACCATGCTGTCCCAGCATATACCCAAAACTCATTCTCCTTGCTACACTTTTATTTGTGTTGTGTAATCAAGAATAGCCTCTAGTCTTTTTCCATCATTTTTTCAAAGCTCAATTTGAATCCCATATATACAGGAGAATTGAGGAAGCAGGATGCAGGAATAGAAGGCTGCACCCATTATCCCCCATACCCACAAGGACATCAATTTAACAACTATCTGCACAACAAGCACCTGAATAAGAAGTGAAAATCAAATGGGTACCCACAGCACCTGTTTTTAATTTCATATCACAAAGAGGCAATAAAGAGGTAGGGAAAATAGTCCTGAATCACTAAAGCCACTGCTCCTGCATCCCCTGACAGAGGCAATGTGGTCCAGAGAGCATTTCTGTGTTCTTGGGGAGGGAGAGCATGCAATGTTGGGGCATTGAACTCATGCTGACCTGTCATAGCCTAAAACAAAACCAGACCAAACACAGCTGATGCCCGCACATGGAGGGATCAGTTAAACCAGCCCTAGTCAGAGGGGAATTGCTGATCCCAGTGGTCCAAGCTTGACTTCCTGCAAGCCCCGCCACCAGGAGCTAAAGTGATATGGGGGCCCTAAATATACTTGAAAAGCAGTCTAGGCCACAAGAACTGCAACTCCTAGGTGAATCCTAGTGCTCAACTGGGACCAGAGCCAGTGACCTGGGGGATGGGGGAGCACATGACCTACTGAGACACCAGCCAGGGCAGCTAAAGAAGTGATAGCATCACCTCTCCCCTAACCTCCCCACAGCTCATGGCTCCAAATGAAACCCCTTCCCTCTGCTTGAGGAGAGGAGGGAGAAGTGTGGGAAGGACTTTGTCTTACCTCTTGGATATCAGCTCAGCCACAGCAGGGCACCAGTCAGAGTCACAAGGCCCCCCGCCTTCCAGGCCCTAGTACCCAGACAACATTTCTGTACACACCCTGGGCTGAAGGGACCCCACTGCCTTGACAGGAAGAACCCAGTCCTAGCAGGATTTGTCACCTGCCAACTCAAGACCACATGGTCCCTGAATAACCAGCAGCAATACACAAGTACTACGTTGAGGGTTTTGGGTGAGACTCTGAAATCTGCTGGCTTTGGGAGAGACTCAGCACATTCCCAGCTGTGGTGGCTAGGGCACAAGACTTCTTCCACTTGAGAAAAGTAACGGGAAAAAGTAAGAGCAACTTTGTCTTGCACCTTAGGTACCAGCACAGCCACAGAAAGGTAGAGTACCAAACAGGATCTTGGGCTCCTTATTCTAGGACTTGGCTCTTAGATAGCATTTCTGGACCTTCCCTGGGCCCGAGGATTCACTGTCCTAAAGGGTGAGTCCCAGGCGAGGCAGCATTCACCACAAGCTGACTGAAGAACTCTTGGGTCTTAAGGGAACCTGCATTAGTCTGGTAGTACTCTCCATGGGCCTGCAGTAGTGGTGGCCATGGGGTGAAGTCCTTCTGACTTTGGAATGGGGAGGAAAGAGCAGGAAGGACTGCATCTTGTGGTTTGACTCCCAGCTCAGCCACAGTACAACAGGACACCAGGTAAACTTTGAACCTTTTTGACTCTAGTCCTTGACTCCTGGACAGCACCCCCAGATCTGCTCTGGGGCTGAGGGAACTCATCTCCCTGAAGGGAAGGACACATGCCTGGTTGGCTTTGCTACCTGCTGATTGTAGAGCCCCAGGGCCTTGATCAAACATAGGTGGTAGCCAAGGAGTGATCATGGCAGGCCTCGAGGGAGACCTAGTGCTGTACTGGCTTCAGGCTGGACCCAGTGCATTCCTAGTGGTAGTGGCCACAGGCGTGCTCATGTCACTCCACCCCCAGCTGTAGGTAACTAAAAAGAGAAAGAGAGACTCCATTTGTTTGGGAGAAAGTAAGGGAAGAGATAAAATAGCTCTGCCTGGTAATCCAGAGAATTCTCCCATATCTTATCCAAGACCATTAAGATGGTACCTCTACAAGTCTGCAAGAACCACAGCATTACTGGGCTTGGGGTGTCCCCTAAAGCTGATACAGCTTAGAACACAACACCCAAGCCCTTTCAAATATGTGGAAGCCTTTCCAAGAAGAATAGGTACAAACAAGCCCAGACTGAGAAGACTACAATAAATACCTCATTCTTCAGTGCCCTGACACAGACAAACATATACAAGTATCAAGACCATCCAGAAAAACATAACCTCACCAAATGAACTAAATAAGGCACCAGGGACCAATCTTGGAGAAACAGAGATATATGACCCTTCAGATGGAGAATTCAAAATAACTCTTTTGAGAAAACTCAAAGAAATTCAAGATAACACAGAGACAAAATTCAGAATTCTATCAGACAAATTCAACAAAGAGATTGAAGTAATTTAAAAGAATCAAGCAGAAACTTATGGAGCTGAAAAATGCAATTGGCATACTAAAGACTGCATCAGAGTCTTTTAACAGCAGAATTGATCAAGGAGAATAAAGAATTAGTGAGCTTGAGGACAGGCCACTTGAAAATACACAGTCAGAGGAGACAAAAGAATAAAAAAACAATGAAGCATGCCTACAGGACCATTTAAACAAGAAAATCTTCCTATACCACCGCAGTCTAGACAAATTACTCTGGTTTTCCTACTCTAAAAATATCTATTCATATATATATATGAACCCTTCGGCCATTTTATTAAATTCTGCCTTCACATACTTCAAAATAAATCTTTTTGTGTAATTAGTATTTTGCTAAAAAAACTCTAGATATTTCAGGATTAAGATTATGCCTGTACCATTCCTTCTATGTCTCCCACTGTGCTGCACAAATAATGAGTGCTCAACAAATATTGGCATGGTTAAATAAATAATAAAGCTAAATGGGGTGCATAAAATATTATTTATAAAATTTGCTTAAATATTTTTGTGATGTCTGTTTGTGGAGATTAGGAAATACATATATAGGACCAGCTTAAATTTAGCTATAGGAAAGACTTACTTTACTCCACCCAGACAACAAGATATGGAAGTACTAAATTACTAGTCATTCAGATAGTGGTACTACCAGTGAGGAATAAGCTCCTTCCCATATTTTGAAAGAGTTTTATTTAAGTGGTTTATATCTTACTTGGATGAGTGTATTAACATGGACTTTGGAATCCTTGCTTGGTCTTGCTTCTCTTTAATCAGTCGTCCATATTGCCAGATGAGTCCTTCTAATGTATAAATCTGAAGGATTGCTTCCCTTGTTAAAAACCTTCAATAGATTATCTTTACCATTACGATAAAATCGACACTCTAGCATGACACTGAAGGTCCACTGTAATTAGGCATCTCTTTGCCTATTTCTCTTGAGTTGTCTATTGCCAGTCCTCTAAAGTGTTTCTGACTATTCTGTGTTTTCTTTCATCCAATCTACTCTGAGTCCTTACTCATTCTTCAAGCTAAGGCTCAGAAAGATTCTCCTGCAGTCAATGAGATGAAGGACTGATAATTTCACTGTTTAGTCACCACTGATCAGCTTGTGCTAAACCATGAATCTCTTAGAGGAAAGATGGTATCTTTCATCTCTTTTTAATCATTCCCTAGCAAAAAACCTGGCATTTAGTGGAATCTTATTTAGAATGTGTGTGTGTGTGTGTGTGTGTGTGTGTGTGTGTGTGTAAATACCTGTACCCAAAGGGGAAATGTTAAAAGGGCCCAAACTGCTTACCTGCTTACATTGCCAGAAGAGAGATTTTTGAAAAAAAAAAAAAAAAAGTTTTGGAGATTGATTAATATTCCCAGAATAGAGAATGTTCAAGCTATTTAAGAACATCTTATTTAGAAATACTTGAAAATATCTAAAATTCTATTTGTTTTTTTACATAAACAGGCCTTTTGTAACCTCAGTGACCATACCATCTGTTACACATTTTAGTAACATCACTTTGAGTGAATTGCATCTTCTAAGTTTGGCCCATTGCTCATCTGTTCTGTGTTGCAAATGGCATGGCATTTTTAGCATGTTCAAATTGCAAGTAATTTAGCATTTATGAAAGTTCCTTGGTGATTTGAGTCATATTCAGACAGTAATTACGATTTGTTTGAAAATGGACCATAATGCGTGATTATTGTATCATATACATTGAAATGCATTTATTGACTTTCCAAGTTTCGAGTACAGTAATTACTCTGAAATGAAGCAAAGCCAATTTTACTTGTTTTTATCAACTTCAAAATGTGCAAGTTAATGAGATTTGTATGCCGACAATTTTTATACTTTTACTTGTTGTGACTGTTGTGAATTTTGGCATTCAAGATCAATGTAATATCCCTTTGATCTGATGAGAGGAATAGGTTTTCCTGTATCATTTTTTAACCTAAGTGGTACTTTAGATCTCAAGGACAAGTCAGGATGAAAGGAGTTTATCCCTTCAGAACCTCTTTAATGACTACAAGGAGTAATGTACATGTAAGCCAGTTCCATTCCCATGCCCACTTTCTCACAAGTCCCATGTAAATTGCATGGCAGACTTAGAACCAATGGTGAGATGGGTCTAGCCATTTCTGTTCCTTATACTTCTCTAAAAATACAATAGGTAAGTCTTTAATTCATTCATCTCTCCTTTTCTTAATAGATATTTAGTAATCACTTAGAATAGACACCATTATAGAACTGAAGAATTCTCATTGTTGACGAAAGAAACTCCCTGCTCTTACAAAGCTTATAGTGAAGTAGAAGAAAGATGCAAGTAAATTGTCAAGATAATACACCAGCATGTGCTGTGGCTCCCCAAAATAAAGCACAGTAAGCAAATCTACAGGAAGGGCATCAAGACTCAGTTAGAGGAATAAAGGAAAAACTTCCTAACCAAAGTGGCAACTCAGCTAAAATCTAAAAACAAATAGAAGGCACCTCTTCACTTAAGTTATGCAAGCAGAGATTGATATTAGGAGACCTATGTATAAGATTAGCTCTGAATCATGAGAGGAAAAGCAATCTGAACTATGGTCCACAAGTACCCAGTCACAATTACTCCTCAACATCGCTACTTTCCACCTTCGTCAAAATTTCCTGTAATCATTGTTAAATAAGTCAGTAGTACTTCTCATCCTAAAAGGGATAACCTTGTACTTCTGCTCTCCTTCGAGAAAAACACAGATTTCTGCCAGCTTTTCCGTGTTTAATCATGTGTTGACTCTCAAGATCTCCTGTAAGGACACTTTGTCATTAAATGAGTCCCTTAGCAAGTCTAGATGCTAAAATCACATGTCCTCACCTGGATATGCTTCAGAAAGCTTGGTGCTATGCGTGAGTCCTCATTAGGAAAATGACAGAGTCCTGAATGTTATTCAATTTGGAGAAAATGCTACCTCATGTCTGGGCATGCTAGTTTGTGGTTTTAAAAATAAATGTGAGATCTCAGAGTCAGGTGGAATTAGCTAGCTCAGACTGTGGAATTCTGAATAGGGAAAATGATTCAGGGACTAGGACAACTTAGGGGAACTATTTTTATTTGTTCTTTAATTTTGCTTTTTAAAGGATCCTCAGATTATTTGTAGATTCAACACAAGAAGCATTTAGTACATGGGTGAAAATTTTCAAGGCATACATCTTTTGCTATTGAATTAGAAGTGTATATAATTGATCTGTAATTAGAATTCTGTATGATCTTAAGCAATAAATTCCTTTAAAGGGCTTCAGTTTTGCAATATATCAGATGAGGGAATTAATTTAGATAACAAATGACAAGCACCTGAGAGACAACCATAAACACTTGAGAGATAATCACAATTTTCACATTCTGCACCCATGGCAGACATAACTAATCAATCACAGCCCTCTCTTCTACTTAAGTCAAGTGCAACTTCGGAACCATTCTTAACATATTGTACTAGGCAACTGTGAATCAACTGAAGCTAGCAAATAAGATACAATATATTTACCAATCAGCAGCCAGATCTCTTATGCTTCTAATGCCACTAATAATCCTCAAATAGGATAATTCTATAGAATGCTGTATTTGTTTTAGGTCAATGCTGTTTTCATGTGAAGTAGAGATGTGGATTTAAAAAAAATAACAACAATGAAAACTCTCAGGTGAGCATAAAGAGCAATAATCAGCACAAATTCCATACCCAAAGATAGCTACTATTAATATTTTTAGAATTTTTTTCTTAGTTCTGTATGCAGTGCTAATTTTTCTTAAAAATGCTTTGTTTGGACTATTTTTTTTTATTTTCAGTTTATGCCACACAGGTACACAAGATTTCTTTATGTGGAACTTCAACAGATTAACATGATTCATTCTCAAGGCATTTTAATGATTTTTTTTTTCTCAATGTGAGATGCAATCCTTACAATTTTTGTCTTTCCTCTAAGAAAGCAGATACTGGTGTGACAGCTTAGAATATTTATAACTGTAGATATCAAAATGGTTCCCTGTGGGAACAAATTTTGTTTCATAGCTTCAGAAATCCTCATATCCCAGTAGGCTGGGTTGACCACCTGGTACATCACATTCCTAGAAGGGACCTGTGGCACAGTTTTAGCCTCATGGTCAAAGACTATGCTGTTAAAAGGAAAACCTTGGACAAATTAAATTTAAGAGCGTTTAATGGAGCAGAGAAAGATTAGTGAATGAGGCAGACCCCAGAACCAGAATAGATTCAGAGCGACTCTGAGGCTGCTGCGTTGTTGGATAATGTTTATGGACAGAAACAGAAAAGTGATGTACAGAAAATGAAAGTGAGGTACAGAAACAACTGAATTGGTTACAACTTAGAGTTTGTCTCCTCGAACATAGTTTAAATAGTTGGCCACCTGCGATTGATCAAAACTCTGTGATTGGTAGAAGAGGAGATTATAGTCTGTTGATACATCCAGTTAGGTTATAGTTCACTGTGTATGGAGAAATTTGAGATCAAACTAAAATTATGTAAAAAGCAGTTTTAGCTTAATTTAACATGGTTTATAATCTCTTTGGAGACTACATCAAACTTTTTTATTCATTCTTGATTTGCATGTTCTTTTTTATCATCTTATAGCAGCAAAAGCAATCTGTCTAAAACGCAAATCAGGCAATACTTATGTGGGTCACCATTGCCCTTAAAATTCAAATACTGTCAAGTTGCATGTGACATTAATTGTCATCTGGCCCTTTCGGAGCTCTTTGTCTTTATCCCTCTGAGAGCCAACCCTCAACTTGCACTGCAGGCAGACTACACTATTTTCAGTTCCCGTATGCTCTCCAGAGCCTGTAGACCTTTCTACATCTTATTTCTTCTTTTTTTCTGGCAAACTTTGACTTCCACACTTGTGTTTTTCAATTATTACATTTAGCACTGATTTTCCTTTCTTTGGAAAGTCTTTATTTTCATAAACTGAATTGAGTAACTCTTGCTTGTTGTCCTAAATTACTCTAGTAATAACAGTTATAACCATAATGGAGGGTAGCACACACTGTGGGTGTTTGGCACTCACCTCAACAACAAAAAGCCTCCTGTGATTAACATGAATAATTCCCCACCTGACAACTTTTGTGGGGGAGGATAGGCACAATGAATCCACACTAAGTACAAGTCAGAAGTGTAAGGGAATTAATGTCCTTGGAATCCCTGTTTACCCAATGGTGGTCAATGCGTTGGAGAAGTACCGTTAGTGTCCATAATCAATGGAGTAGGGGTGGACGATGATTCTGAATTGTGTTCTTATGATCTACACCATTTCCCTGAGTTCTCCAGCAGGACCAAGATCCATTTACTCAAAGTGATAACTAGTTTGATAGTATTAATGCACTGTGTTGGTACTCTAGAATCATCTACTAAGTAGTATATTTACACTGAAATCCTTGTTTTAGTATCTGCTGCTTCTGAATATTTGAAACCAAGATAAAGAGCAATGAACCAACAGTTACTAGCACTATCATTTAATGAGCACTTACTGTGCAACAGGTACTAAATTAAGCAATTTTTATGCATCATCTCATTTGACCCTAAGAAGAGCACTCAGTGAGAGGCTACTATCTCACAACAAATAGAAACTGTTACAAACTATTTATTATTTGGATCTTAAATATTCTTATTTTTGTGGTAATTATTTATTTACTGTTTTCAACAAGACTAAGCAACTTAAGGGCAGGAGCTATGTCGGTAGATACCAGCTAAATGAACATTTTATATATATACATACATATATATATATATATATATATTTTATATACTATATATATAGCCAAGAATTTTTTGTAATTTTTTTTATTTCTGTCTCAGAATAAGAAGGCCAGAATAATTGGGCTGAGATTTTAAAAATTATATTTGAATTATAAATTTGGAAAATAGAAGAATTTTCATGAGTAAACACTTACACTTTACAATAAATTTTAATATATTTTTCAGAGATGGTAACATCTTAGAATAATTTCATTAAGCCAAAATATCGAAGAATGCTCAACAGCATCCTTTTATAACTAAAGTCAGTGTTGTAAAGGACATAAAAATAGAGCAAAAGACTAAAGGACATGGCAAAAGAAGAATGTGAAAGAGTAGGAAAATTAACATTACAGAAAAGAAAAAAGAGGATTAAAAAAAACACAAATGCATCTAAAATGGGCTCACTTAGTCTACTGATAGCAACAGACATCCAAGCCTATGCGTTAGGTTAGAGAGGACATAGCAGAAAGGAGTAAAGGGGAAAGATAATATAATAAAAATTCAGTGATGGGATAATTAAGAGACTTGGACACTATACAATCATTCTTGTATCCTAGAAGTTTGCTCCAGGATTACTCTCTCTCCCGTATATCATTTTTTACAGTCTATTAGATCATTTCCATCAGTAAATAAAATCTGTTGTTACCTTTATTTTTTAAAAAAAATCATAAAACTCAACAATAAGAAAACAACCCAATTAAAAAATGGGCAGCAGTCCTGAACAGAAATCTCACCAGATGAGATATACAAATGGCAAATAAGTGCGTGAAAACGTGTTCCCCATCATGTGTCATCAGGGAAACAGCAAGTTATAGGAACAGAATTCACAGGTTCACAGCAAAATTGAGCAAAAGGTACAGAGAGTTCTCAATATACTACCTCCGTCCATACATGCACAGCCTCCCCATTCTCAACACTCTCATCAGAGTGATACATTTGTTAACAATTGATGAACCTACACTGACACATCATTGTCACCCAACGTCGATAGTTTACATAAGACTTCATTCTTGGTATTAGTACATTCTATGGGTTGGTTTGAGCAAATGAATGATGACATATACCCACAATTATAGGATCACACAGAGTAGTTTCATTGCCCCCAAAATCTTTTGTGCTCTCCCTATTTATACCTTCCCCAGCTCCAACCCTTGGCCACCACTGACCTTTTCATTGTCTTCATAGTTTTGCCTTTTCCAGAATGCCACATAGTTGGAATCATGCAGTATGTAGATTTTTCAGATTAACTTCTTTCACTTAGTATATTGCTTTTAAGGTCCTTACCTGTCTTTTCATAGCTTGAAAGCTCAGTTCCTTTTAGCACTGAACAATGTTTCATTGTCTGAGTGTATCACAGTGTATTTATCCATTCACCTATTGAAGGACATGTTGGTTGTTTCCAAGTTTTGGCAATCATGAATAAAGCTTCTATAAACGTCCACATGAAGGTTTTTGTATAGACATAAGTTTTCAACTCCTTTGGGTAAATTCTGAGGAGCAGTGTGATTCCTGGAACATATGGTGAAAGTATGTTTAGTTTTGTAAGAAACTGCCAAACTGCCTTTCAAAGTGACTGTACCATTTTGCATTCTTACTCACCATGAATAAGAGTTCCTATTGCTCCACATCCTCACAAGAATTTGATATTGTCAGTGTTCTGGACTTTGGTCATTCTAATAGGCATGTAGTGGTACCTAATTATTGTTTTAATTTGTATTTCCCTGATGACCTATAATGGGAAGCACCTTTTCATAAACTTATGTGCCATTTGTATATCTTCTTTGGAGAGTTATCTATTGAGGTCTTTGGCCCATGGTTCTGTTTGTATTTTGTTGTTGTTGTTGTTGTTGTTTTGTTTTTTATTGGGTTGTTTGTTTTCTTAGTGTTGAGATTTAGGAATTCTTCTTACATTTTGGATAACAGTTTTCTATCAGGTACATTTCTTACAAAGATGTGATCCAATCTGTAGCTTGTACTTTTATTCTATTGATAACAACTTTTGCAGAGCACAAATTTATAATTTTAATCAAATGCAGCTTATCAATTTTTTTTCTTTCATGGATCATGTCTTTGGTGTTATAAAAGGTCATCAAAACACAAAGCCATCTAGAGTTTCTCCTATGTTAGCTTCTAGGAATTGTGTAGTTCTCATTGCTTTTAAGATCATTTTTTGAGTTGTACATACAAATAAATTGTAAATTTTTCTACTCAATTATTTATACTTCACACCTTCCCTTTACTTAATTGCATTAGATGGTGCTTCCAAGACAATATTGTGCAATAATGTTGACAATACTGAAGTTGGAATTTGATTGTGGAAAATTTGTCAAATATCAAAGATTTAAAGATATCATAAAATAGGGTCACTGTAAAATAAGTCATTCATTTAGTCGAAGTGATAATTGAAAGATTTCAAAAGGTAAAACCCTTTTTTACTCTTGGCAGTGAAGAGACTCAGTTTCCAAACAATTAAGAAGGCCTAATAATGACAAAATGAAAGATAAACTGAAAAAGAAGTAAATTAGATCTCTCTCTTCCCTTTTTTTTTTACTGTTCACTCAAAATGCAAACAAAACTCTTTTACTATCCCTTATTAATAGTACATTAAAATTTTGTTCAAAATAGAAAACCAAATTTTACCTTTGCATTAGTGTATTAAACCTTTTATAAATTTTGATAATTTCTTTCATTCTTTCTTTCCTAAATTTCTACATTCATGCAGTTTTATCTGTCATTCCATTTATTCCTTCAATTAAAAAAATACTTAAAAACCATTAAACTAGCCAAACATTACCTTTCCCTTAATAAAAACTATATTTTTATACCTTTTTGTAAATGTTTTTACTAAAAAGACACCTTTCTTTATACATTCTGTATATAGAATTGTTTCTCTTTATCTAATAGTATTAATTGCATAGATTAACTAGCATATTAACTCTTAGTAGATCTAATTTTTGGTGAAACACCTAGGATTACTTAATGTAATATAATATGACTTTCAGGTTTTAAATTACTATAAAAAATTTCAAACTACTTTTACTTACCAAAGATTACTGAAGTCATGTGAATTATAAGGCATTTCAATGTTTTTCTGATAAAATATTTGATTAAAGCATTTACTTTTTCCTTAAGTCAGTTAATTAGAACTCTTTCATAAAATTTGGTAGTAAAGTACAACAAACACATGACTCATATAAACATGTAGACATGCAAATACACAGAGCAAATTTTATAGATTTATAAGAGTTTTCATTTGCCAGTTCTCAAATATTTTTCTCCCCTACTTTAGACTATTAACCTCTTGACTATCTGTTTTATGTCATAAACAATTGTTAACTAGGCAACTCTAAATTTGGATCTCCAGAGCCCATGACTCTTAGGTGGAGCCAAGTAGAAAATGTACATCTGAAAGGCAAAGAACTTAGATCTAAACAAAGGCAAGATTTGTTGTATGAACTTTAAGCCATTGTCTTCCCCATTCTAAAAGTTAATGGAGGCTTAGGTACAGGGAGGGAGATACCCTTACAATTGAAGAATTCTTTTCAGAAAGTTGTATTTTGGCCTATTAGCTACTTTGTTTCTTAATTAGATTATTGGCTTTAGGGTGAAGCCTTTTAGTGAGTAGAGGAAAGAAAATATACAGTTTTTTGAGTCGCATATTTAAATATGTGAGAGGCAGGCACAGATGAAAAGTCAAACGTGGATACCTCCAAATCGACTTCTTTCTTTCTTTCTTTCTTTCTTTCTTTCTTTCTTTCTTTCTTTCTTTCTTTCTTTCTTTCTTTCTTTCTTTCTTTCTTTCTTTCTTTCTTTCCTTCTTTCTTTCTTTCCTTCTTTCTTTCTTTCTTTTTTTTTTGAGATGGAGTCTCGCTCTGTCGCCCAGGATGGTGTTTAGTGGCATGATCTCGGCTCACGGCAAGCTCCGCTTCCTCGGTTCACAACATTCTCCTGCCTAAGCCTCCTGACTAGCTGGGACTACAGGCACCCACCACCACGCCCGGCTAATTTTGTATGTGTGTGTTTTTAGGAGAGACGGAGTTTCACCGTGTTAGCCAGGATGGTCTCCATCTCCTAACCTCGTGATCCGCCCACCTCAGCCTCCCAAAGTGCTGGGATTATAGGCGTGAGCCACTGTGCCCGGCCGGATTTCATTTCTACATTAAATCCTAGGTCTTCAAAAACAGGACAATGCCATGGGGCAAGATAGTGTAATGCTTCCACAGTACACCCCCCTGCAAGGACTGCCCACTCTGTTATCTCTCCATCCCTTATGAGTAGGCTTTTGCCTTAGTGGAGGAGTGTTTCCATAACCTGTAGGTGTTCCAAACCATGCTTTTCCTACCCAGACATGCAAAGACAAGCAACCCCCTGTAGTAATAACCATTTACTCTAACCAACTGCTACCAGACACCTCTAAAACTCTATCTCTTACCTATCCATCATACACACCAAGGTTAAGTTTTCTCACAATACAAAGTATTTCTGCCATACTCAAAAGCCAAAGAGATCAGACAACACAATACTGTAGACATCCAAGCTTTCGGTCTGAGAAGAATATGCCTATTACTCTTGAAACTCCACAAAGAAAACAGACGACCCCCTCCCCCACTCCGCCCTGCAAAAGGAGTGGGTGTGCCTTTTCTGATTTTCTTAAGATGTCTCAGTCATCAGAAGTATTCTTTAGATTTTTCCATGTGGTATCTAAGAGGGCAAAGACAAAGAAAGAGTAGGGAAAAGTAAACAGGAGAACAATTCTTAAGAAAGGAGGCAAACAGAGAAATCAAGCGCATAATTCTAAAAAATGATTTTAGTCAACTGAAAAAAAATTCCAGAACAAGATCTAAAGAGAAAAGGCAGAAAGCCATTTACGTATAGTTTGGATTAGTTTTTAATTAAGCTGACTTTAAACATAGAACTCATAGAAAACATTCTTCCAAATCTGTTATTACCAGATTTTAGCTGGGACAAACAGCTGATATTTTGGGCTTTTGAACTTCTTTACCAAAGGTATCCTCCTAAGTCCCTTAAGCAAGGTTATGACTTCACCAAGGATGCACAAAATTTCTCCAAAGAGGTGGCAACTGGTTTTTATGAGATCCAGAACCCTCAAACACAGCTCAAAGATGGGCAAGTTTCGCTATCCATTAATTGAGTATAACCTGCATTTCTTTTTTGTCATATTTTCTGGAGTCTTAGCTTCTCAACTGACTATCCACACACACAAAAACTCAAAAGCTCCATATACCCCAATAATGGAAGATGACAGAAAATTAAAAGCAATCCCCAAAAGAGAAAAGTATCAATAATAAATTAGCAATCCTAATGTCACACAAATATCAAAGTAAGAAGAACTGG
Source organism: Homo sapiens (assembly GCF_000001405.40). Taxonomy (NCBI): domain Eukaryota; kingdom Metazoa; phylum Chordata; class Mammalia; order Primates; family Hominidae; genus Homo; species Homo sapiens. The sequence continues at coordinate 161,731,867 of NC_000005.10, read as the reverse complement.
TTCTCTGACCTGGAATTAAACCCATGCTGTGGAGGTTAAAGTGCAGAGTTTTAACTATTAAACCACAAGGGAGAGTGGCCATTGTTGTTCAGTTATCAGGAGGTGAATCCAAGCTGCAGTGGGAATTTTAAGTACCAGACTACTAATGGGAGCAGGCTCCATCGTTGATCCTGCATGGAAGCCACATGTGCAGTTTGCATTTAACTGTTTTAGGTCAGATTTTGGCTCTTTAATTTAGTTAAGAGAATTTTAAATATAACTATGACACTATTATGTGTCCTTCATTTAATTTGGTCTTCTCATCAATCGTTTATAATAAGAGGTCTTTAAAATCTTTTGTTTTAAACTTAGGAATTTTAGTCCAATTTGAAAGACCTATCTTTTGGCTTTTGCAATTAGAATTTTCAAGGGTGTACTTAATTCCAACAGTGACTAAACCCCAAAGCCTCTTCATGTAAAGTTTAGGTGGTAATTTCCCAAGTTTTTACCGTATAAGCAAGAGGTGTTCCTGGAGAGGGCATAGAAGGGGCAGTCCCCATGATCCCCAAAAATTCACTTTTAGAAATAGACTTCAAATGGCAAAAACCCCACAGAGATAGGAACTATTAAGACAAAACTCACCTAAAAGCTTTGCACTTTCAGAACAAAAAGTGTACTATTTAAAGTCTTACATTCCTCAGACTCACAATCTTTTCAGATTGGCCGCCTAAGTGACCTGAAAAATCACTCCCTCTAGATGGCAGAGACCAAGAGAAAGTTTCCCCATGTGGTCACAAATCAAGCTCTGGAGGACATAAGATAAGACGAGAGGAAAATATCACTCTTTTTTTATTTTAGAGAATCGCAGAAAAATTTGTGTTAATGGGGACACTGGTCAAGTAAGCACCATAAAACCTACGAGTCTGTAGGGCCATCTTGAACAGCAGGCTAATAGGGGTTCTATGTCTATGGTGACTTTCTTTATGACAGAACAAAGCGATGACAAAGGAAAATGGCAGCAAAAACAAATCTATTTCTGAGCGGAAAGAGATCAAGCAATATAAATATTCATATCGTGAAGTATGAAAAGTACACCAGAGTCACTATATCAAGCCTAGTCACACAAATCCTTTTTCCCCATTAATCAAAACCTTGAGACAGAACAGTGAATTTTACCATCTACTCAGCCAGACTGCACAGAGGGAAAGACTGGGAGCCAGACTGGTGAGAAGTTCTTACCCTTCTGCTGGCTTTTCAGTTTTGTGGGTTCTCTTCATGGTGGCTTCCAGAAGAGTAGAGTGGCTTTGGGGATCCTTTAGACTATGCCATAACTGTGGGGGCCAAGGGAGAGCTTTCCCCTTGGCCCTCTGAAGTTTCACTGAAAAATCAACTCACAAAAGGCAGATTAATAGGAGAAAAGGCATACAAATTTCTTTAATGTGGATCACAGGAGCCTTCAGGATGAAGACTTTCAATTTTTTTCACTGGAAAATGTTTGCTTTTGATAATCAATTTACAACATTTATATTTATTAATATAAATGTGATTTATTTAGTTCTGTTATTTTAGTCTCTCTCTCTTTTAAATGCCTTTTTAATGTCTTCTTTATATTGAAATTTTTGCTATGCCTATTAAAAGAAACTTTTTCTTCTTTTTAAATTTTTGTCCTGAATACTCATAGGATTTTAGAATCTTTTTATATTAAGAAACTCATCAGCAAATGTCTCTGTTTTCACCACCCTGCACTTTTTTTAATTGTTGTTATTTCTTCTTCAGATTCAGATCTTCCTTTATCATAGAAAACAATTTATTTATTGCCTTTTTGCTGTTTTTGCTTCTGTACCCTCAACCCTCAAGAACATCACATATGCATATGTTCAATGACATTTGTCCCTCTTCTATATCTATAGCTTCCTCTCTAAAGGCTATTGTGTTTATTCTTTTTCCATTTGGTTTTGCTGAATTTTCCCTAGCTTTTTTTTTTCTTCCTATATCACTAACATTTCAGAAGTAATGTCTTCCCTCCTCTTTGCCATTTCTCATCTGGCTTATATATTTTGGCAAGCATTTTGTGTTCCTCATTATAGTTAGTTAATTTTCAACATCTTCTTGTTTGTTTTGAATCCTCTGTCTTTTCATCTATGTCTCTCTTCTTTGAGATTTTTGTTCCAATGACAACTTTTTTAAAAAAATTATCTGGCAATATGGATACATAGTTGCTTGAACTATTATGTTTTCTTATGAACTTATTCTAATTTCTAGTTTTCCATGTGCCTTTCTTTATTTTATGTTTTCTTTTTTAAAATAATATATGTACATGGTGATATGGTTTGGAACTCCGTCCCCACACAAATCTCATGTCAAATTGTAATCCCCAGTGTTGGAGATGGGGCCTGGTAGGAGGTGATTGGATCCTAGGGATGGGTTCTCATGAATAGCTTGGGAGCATTCCCTTGGTGCTATTCTTGTGAGAGTGAGTGACTTCTCATGAGATCTGGTTGTTTAAAAGTGTGTAGCCCACCTCCACACTGGCTCTGTCTCTTGCTCCTGATCCTGCCATTTAAGAAGTGCCTATTCCTGCTTCAGCTTCTGCCATTATTGTAAGTTCCCTGAGGCATCTCCAGAAGCAGAGCAGACGCCAGCTTTATGCTTTCTGTACAGCCTGCAGAACTGTAAGCCAATTAAACTTTTTTCTTTATAAATTACAGTCTCAGATTTTTTTATAGCAATGCAAGTCTGGCCTAATACAATGGCATATGTAACATGGATTTCAAGACATTAATTTTTATTAAATTTTGAATCATTGAATTGGGAGCATTAAATCTAGATCTGCTGCATGCTAAAGACAAAGCTGAGGAAGTGCCAGTGTAATAATTGGGCTTAGGAGCAGTCCTCAGCTCAGAAGCATTATATTGAAACTCTTCCTCACCAGTTGTCTACAACCAAGACTTTGATAGAGAGATGTACACCACTGCTCTGTTTATTCATATCCTAATCACTCATTCACTACATCTAGAGATCCACTTCTTATATTCCATTGAAAAAATGTTTCTATCAGGAAATCAGTAACTCTTCTTTTGCTTAATCATCCCTTCTGCCTACAAAAAATTACTTATTTTAAACCCCCTTCCTCATTTCAGTATTAATATTCTTCTGTTCTTGAAATTCCTCTCTTGAATTTTGAACACGCTAACATTGTAATTGCCCTCCTATTACTGAATAAACACATTAGTATTATCTGAAAGCTATCCCTCCTATTCCAATTAATTCTTCCCACAGCTCAGTTCTCATCTTTCCTACTTTGCAGCCTTGCTCATTCTCCCTTAGTGAAATTCACTCCTGGTTTATAACTTTATAGACACTGTTAAATTTTGAACCTAGATTTCTCTGTTGAGCTCTTGAATATACACACAGTCTATGAAATAGCCAAACCTGGGAATTCTTCAAATATCTTAAGCTTACAATATCTGTATGAAACAATTAATTTTCCACACCAAATTTGATTTTTGTTCTTATTGTTTCTATCTCAGTGAAGGGAAGCTCAATTTGAATCTCTCAATTGTGTGACCTAGACAATAAGGCTTCATCTTAGAACCCTCCTGTATTTTCCTTCATATTCATTCACCAACTTTTAATATGATTTCCACAATATTTCTAGATTCTGTACCCTTGAGCTCAGGGAATGATTTTCTATGGTATACAACAGATATATAACTGATCTTCCTAATTCTATAATATTTCCTTCTCTCTAATCACATCTCTGTACTTGCCATTAGTGTACTCTTTCTTTAACACAAATCTTATGTTATATCCCTGCATAAGCCCCTTTAATGTCATCCCAATACCTCTAGGAATGGATCTAAAATTTCAACATGCATATAAGTCCCCCACTAGAAATATTCCCCTGCTCACCATTCCATACCTTAATCTAAACTATTTTCACTATTCCCACCCTTTTGACTTGGTGATTCCACTAAATGAGCTGCTTGTACAGCATGAATGGATCAATGTCTCAAGACTTAGCACTTTCCATGTCCTCCACTTATAACTCCTTCTGCTTTTTGTTATACAACTGATATGATTTGAATATTTGTCCCCCCCAAATCTCATGTTGAAATGTGATCCTCAATATTAGAGATGTGGCCTAGTGAGAGAGGTTTGTGTCCAGAGGGCAGAACTTCATTAATGGCTTGGTGCCTTCTCTGAGGTAATGAGTGAGTTCTCACCCTATTAGTTCACAGGAACTCTGCTTGTTAAAAAGAGCAAGTCACCGCCTCCTATCTCTTTTACTTCCTCTTTGTCCATAAGATGCACCTGCTCCCCCTTCACCTTTCACCATGAGCAAAAGCTTCCTGAGGCCTCCCCAGAAGCAGATGCTTGTGCCATGCTTCTTGTACAGTCTGCAGAACCAACAGCCAAATAAACTTTTCTTTATAAAGCACTCAGCCTCCGGTATTCCTTTATACCAATGCAAAATAGACCAACACAACCATTCCCAAACCAGGCTAAATTCTCTTAAACTTCAAGATTTTTAGACGTCGCCTTTTTCCCTCCCAGAGCAAGTCTTTCCCTCATCTTTTTCACTTTATCCTCCTACCCACCTCCCTCAGTTGAACTTTGTTTCTCTCCCAGAGCCTCCATAGTTTCCTATTTATATTACTCAGAATTGCACTCGTATTTGAGGAAAATGATTTTTTCATATTTAAGGAAAGGATATAAAGCTTTTAAAAATATTTGTATCTTCAGTGCATAGCACCATTCTTGGTCTAGGGAAGTTAAATAAATGTTTCATTATTGAATAGAAAAGTTGAGAAAATGAATGAATGAACACACTGCTCCAAAATAAATTAATCTGGAAGTTCTTGGTATAAAGAAAAGAGACCTACTAAGGCATCTCAATAGTCTTTAAGAACTTCTACGTATTACAATGCAATAAAAAATCAATATTCATAGTGAGGTCAATGAAACCTCAAGAAAATCCTAAATGGTGTTAATATAAATATATAAGATACATTTTAGAAATATATTTATCTTAAGGCTAATATGAATTTGTTTTTAAAAATAAATAAAAGTCACATGGTAGTGTATACAATTTCCCAATAATTTGTGAAGAATAAACCATTATTCTACTTGATGTTTACATACCTCCAAATCCCATTAACTTCTACTAAAGTTTCATTTTTTAGCCTCTTTTTTAAACTTTGGAAATTGTTTTTCAGACATGAGAACATTAATATGGGATTCTTAAAAATAATTAGTTATGCTGATTCCTTGCATGGCATCTAAGAAAATTTATATTTTCTAACAAATTTCTGCCTTGAGATACAAATATACCTATCTATCTACGTATCTCACTAAATAGGTATATCTAACTATATGGGTTGCATCCTGCCTACACACAATTTTCCATGTTAAAGATTTCATAGATAAATCCAGAATACATAATGCAGATCGGCAAGTGAAATTATGTATCTTAAATTCAAAAACAGAATAGTAAAACATGGCTACATTACTGGACTGTATGAATATCATTTGCACAGAGCCACATATACACACACTCAGAAAGAGAAAAGCATTGAGGAAAAGGACAATTTAGTGATTACGAGTACTGGTGACTATAGCAGTGACACACTTTCTACAGAGTTTATAATTCCAATTACACAAGAAACGCTGTTGATAATAAAACAGAAAAGAGCTTTATGTTGTAGATATGCTCGGCTATGTTTAAAAGCAAAGCAATAAATATTGATTATTATGTCTAATATGGTACTTTGTATATGTAGATGCTTCATTCATACTTGTTGATTGATGATTTTACCGGGCTGCTATGTAACCAAGCTATTAAAAGGTCATCTCTTTAGTATGGATGATCTACTAGCTACTGCTTTAATGTGCTCTTCTTGGGGAACTGTACTTATAAAACTCAATAAAATCTCTATCTTTTACAGAAATTTTGAAGGAATGATACTTTTCCCCATGTCTCCATAGCTTTTCACTCCATCTAAGTACTCCATCATATGGGAGGAAATGAATGATATGACTTAATAAAGATATATATATATATATATATCTTAATTATTAATTGAAGTGTGAGAAACACACTTTTAATTGAAGTGTGAAACACAGAAGAAAGTCAAACATAGTGAGAGAGAACAAAGGCACATTATACAAGGACATTCATTGAAAGCAGGTGAGAAACTCTTTAGTATAAGAAAATAAGGCCTAAAAATAAGTAATGCTTTTATTTTATTTTATTTTTTTCAGACAAGATCTCACTCTGTCACCCAGGCTGGAACGTAGTGGTGCAGTCTCAGCTCACTGCAACCTCTGCCTCCCGGGTTTAAGCGATTCTTCTGCCTCAGCTTCCTGAGTAGCTGGGATTATAGGCAGCCACCACTATGTTAAGCTAATTTTTGTATTTTTAGTAGAAACAGGGTTTCACCATGTTAGCCAGGCTGGTCTCGAACTCCTGACCTCAAGTGATCCACCCCTTCAGCCTCCCAGAGTGCTGGGATTACAGGCATGAGTCACCGTGCCCAGCCTTAAATAATGCTTTTAAAATGTAAGTCAGATCATTTTATTCTGCTTAAAACAGTCCAGTGGCTTCTCATTTCATTGAAAGTTGAAGCCTCTAAAACAGTGCTTCTCAATGGTTGGAGAGAGGTGGGTTTTACCTCCTCTGAAGACATTTAGCAATATCAGAAGATGTTTGAGTTTACCACAATATTGGCTGTGTATGCTACTGGAAAATAGTAGGCAGAGATGAGGGATGCTGTCAAACATCTTATAGACCACCGGACAGTCCCCCACAATAAAGAGTCCTCCAGTCCAAAATATCCGTGGTGCTGAGGCTGAGAAACTGCTCTACAATGGCCTGAGGCCTTTCACTAGCTGACTCCAGTCACTTCTCCTTTCCCATCTCCTCCAATTTTCCATATGTTTGTTGAACTCCCGTCATATTGGCTCCCTTGCTGTCTCTTATATTTTTTCTTCCTGAAAAGGCTTGTACTATACCTGCTCTCCTTACAAATCATTTTTCTCAGAGAATATGACATAGGCCATATTCTCACCTCCTTCAAGGCTAAGTTCTCAGTGAGCCCTTGCCAAATTCCTTGCTTAAAATTTTCATTCCTGTCACTGCCCACATTGCCTAGCTTCCTTCCCTATTACACATTGCATTCATTTATTTTATTGCCTACCTCCTCACACCATCTAAAACCTTGAAAGGGCAGGAAATTGATCTATTTTGTTTACTGCTATATTTCTGGCTCTGGGAATAATAGTAGGCACTCAAATCATATTTTTGAATGAATAAGAGGAAGACATATACAAAATAACTCGTGTAAAAAATATTCTGTGTTTATGAGCAAAGCAAAAATATATGACCAATACATTCAACCTATTGGGAGACTTATTTCAACTCAATAAATAAAATTCATTAGACAAGGTTTCAGAAATGGGTTGATGGAGAGTTCTGTCTTGAGGAGCTCAAGAAATGACAAAGGAACCACTTAATATGAATGGATAAATGGAATTCAGGCATTAGCTCTTCAAGTTTCTTACAAGCTGCAACAAGGTGGTGATAGGCACAGGATTTGGAGTTAGACCAGCTTAGGTTGGCTCCAGTCCTGCCACCCTTTTACTATCTGCAAACCCTTGAGGAGATTATTGAATCTCTCAATAATAAAGCCTCAATTTCTTTTTCTGTAAAATAGGGGTACTAATAATACATTCTGCAAAAGATCGATTGGAGGAGAAAATGCGAAATTGTTTGTGAAGCATACCATATATAGTCACATGTATAATTAATGATTGTTATTAGTGTTATTATAATTAGTTAATGATTGTTACTGTTATTATAATAAAGTTTCCAAGCTATAAAATTTATCTTTTTATATTTTAATAATTCTAGATATTTTATCTTTACTTTATCACTCACCATATTTTTCTTGGCATCTTTCTAAGGACAGAAGCCAAATCAATCTGAAGTACCATTTTGTATCGTAGATACAGGAAAATGTAAATTAAAATGTTGATGTAGCTGCACAAGGACCCAGTATTGTATTGAAAAACTGGTACTTTTCAAGAGTAGTAGCTAAGATATCAGAATTATCTTTTAGGGTAAAATAAATACTGATCTCTAAAAGTAACGGTTCTTTATAATTTAGTCCAGTATACATTATGATACACATAAGACGTCTTTTCAAAAACATATGTGATCCCCATCATTACACAATATTACTCACATAACAAACATGCACATGTACACCCTGAATCTAAAATAAATACACAAACAAAAATTATATATCTTTAAAGATAGAAATTAAATATTCAAATTGCCTCCTTTGTATGGAGACATTCTGTGGTAGGAGTAGATACTTTAAATTGTCTGAGGTACAAATATTTCTATACTCAAGAGATGTACAGAATCCAAATTACAGTAAAATTATATCTGCCAGGATGGATCCTAAACCAAATTTTTTTAAACCGTACACACACACACACACACACACAGATAGATATGTGTAAAATGTATGCATAACAGTGTGAGAGTGTGTGTGTGTGTCTGTCTGTCTCTGAATTTACCACTTTGGTAATAACAATAAAAAGAAAAATGAGAAAACAATCATGATGAAGGTGAAATCACCACTTCAGATATTAATGAAATGCAGCTATTTCCAGACTACCATCTTGGTGATTATAAAGCTTTTAATTTTATTAGTGTCCCAATCTGTCAAGAAAAGCATGCTTATATGTTACATTTACCAGAATGCCATTACCTGAATATTAACAATTAAGATGCCTTTAAGAGACACGAAATTATAGACATTCTGAGTATTCTTTTTTACTACCTTTGTGCATTTACTTATAAATTTGATCAACAGAGAAAAATGTTCACTCAAGTATTAAGGTCAATTCTACTAGGAATTGTGAAAAAAATTAATTCTACTCTTTTAGAATAAGTTCTAGACACTTTTAAAAATATCATCCTGTGAATTACATTATCTATAAGACTAAATAGTGGGTTAACTTAAGCCATTATTTTGAAATAATAGATAGCAATTAAAGAATTTTTACTATCAATGCTGTATTATGAGACTAGTTCTATAAAGTCCTTTTATATAAAGTCATATAAAAATATTGTAAGTCCTTTGCTTTCTTGAAAAACAGAATTAAAATTTTGAATATTTCTACAAGATAAACAGAAGAGGAAAACTGCAACAATATATTATAAATAACCTAATTAATTTTTTCTCTAATCCTCTCATTTTCAATCATCCATTAAAATGTTTCAGCATTTCTTTCATTACTTGCACCAATTTTAAATGTTTCTCCAATCTCACAGCATATAATCTCAAAAATATATAAGTAAACACAGTATAAACCATTTTAGAGGGTTTTTTCCTTCCTAATTTTCCACAGTGGCTCAAGAAACACACCAAGAAAAGCTTTGAACAACAGCTTTAAATCTGTGTCATAGCACTGTAACCAGAGTTTGATGTAAAATTATTTCCTCTCTTAAGGTTTATAGAAAACATAGAGAAACTGTAACTCCATTATGCATTTAGCTTTGAAGAAATACTCCAAAAATGTATTTAAAATGTAAAGAAATGAAGCAATAATATCTGTCCCCTTTCCTTTTTCAAAGAGACTTTGAACAATTTTATGGTACTTGAACGCTAAGAAAAATACATGAATAAAGAAAAGTTTCTGAAGTCTTTGCCTTTCTAGCATGCCTCATGTTGTCAGTAAAATATAGGTAGAAAAGTAAAAGTTTCTTGCTATTCAAGAAAAAAAAATTCAGACTAGGTCTTTCCCTTGAACTTAAAAAACAATAGCCCAGGCTGGGCACAGTGGCTCACGCCTGTAAACCCAGCACTTTGGGAGGCCAAGGTGGGTGGATCTCCTGAGGTCAGGAGTTCGAGACCAGCCTGACCACTATGGTGAAACCCTGTCTCTACTAAAAATACAAAAATTAGCCAGGCGTGGTGGCATGTGCCTGTAATCCCAGCTACTTGGGAGGCTGAGGCAGGAGAATCACTTGAACCCGGGAGGCAGAGGTTGCAGTGAGCCGAGATCGTGCCATTGCACTCCAGCCTGGACAACAAGAGTGATACTCCATCTTAAAAATAAATAAATAGCCCAATCATTTAAAGTTAAGCTGCTACAATTTCAATTAAAATATTATAACTTCAGCATATTAAATGCAATCTCCATGGCATCACAAATAAAACAGCTGTAGAATAAATACAAAAGGAGATAAGAAAGATCTAACTTAAACACTTAACTATAGGAAATCGACTAAACATGAAAGAATACAGTAATATAGGAAGTGAGGGACAAAAGAGCAGTAAAGCACATATTTTTTGAAAATATCCAGAAAAATTATAGAAGTCTCCTTTTATCAGTAGTTACTCTAAAATATTGGCAGGATAGACAAAAAGAGATACAAGAGACTCATTTATATCCAAAACCTCAAGTAGGTTGAAAGTGAAAGGTCTGAAAAAGATATTCCATGCAAATAACCAAAACAGAGCAAAAGTGGATGTACAAATGTCTGACAAAATGGACTTTAAATCAGAAAAAAAATTACAAGAGACAAAAAAAGATTATATATTAATAAAAGGTTCAATACAGCAGGAAGATGTGATAATTATGAACATTTACACAATTAATGGAAGACCATCAAAGTGTATGAAGCAAAAACTGACAGAATTGAAGGGAAAAATAAACAGTTCTACAATAATAGTTGGAGACTTCTATACCCTACTCTCAACAACTAGACATATAAGTAAGGAAATAGAGGATTTAAACAATACAATAAACCAACTCAATCTAACAGACAGATACAGAACTGACCAACAACAGAATACTCATTCTTCTCAAATACACATGAGAAATTTTCCAGGATAGATCATATATTGGGCCACAAATTAACGCTTAACAGATGTTTGAAAATGGATATATAAATATGAATATGGTCAGGTATCTTCTCTGATCATAATGAGATGAAGTTAGTAATCAATAACAGAAGTAAAGCTGAAATATTCACAAAATTGTGGAAATGTAACAACACACTCTTATTAATAAATAGCCAATGAGTTAAAGAAGAAATCACAAGGAAAATTAGAAAATACTTAGAGTCTAATAAAAATAAAATATACAAAAACTTATGGGATTCAGCAAAAGTTGTGCTGAGGGAGAAAATTATAGCTATAAATGCTTACACAACAAAAAAGGACTTAAATCAACTACCTAACTTTACAATTTAAAGAACTAGAAAAAGAAGAAACTTAACCCAAAGCCAGCAGAATAAACAAAACAAAGATTAAAGCAGAAAAAAGAAACAAAAAAATAAAATCAATGAAACAAAAAATTGTTTTTTGAAAAGATTAACAAAACTTTAGATACACACACACACACAAATTCTCAAATTACTAAAAGCAAAAATAAAAGTGGGGACATTACAATGGATTCTCCAGAAACTAAAAGTACTATAAGAGATTAAAGTGATCAGGTGTAGCCCAACAAATTAAAAAATCTAAATAAAATGGACACTTTTTTTGAAACACAACACCTAACGTGACTAAATTATGAAGAAATAGACCATCTTAATAGACCTGTGGAATTTAATTCTAGAACACAATAATGGTTCAACATAAAAAAGCAATCAATATAATACACCAAGTTAACAGAATGAAAGAAAAAAAAACAAATGATCATCTCAATGGGTGTAAAAAGAGCATTTGGTATAATTCAGCACTTTTTTATGATTAAAAAAAACAAAGTAGAAATCGAAGGAAAAAAATTTCAACATAATAAAAGCCATGTATTAAAAATCGACAGCAAACATCATACTCAATGTTGAAAGACTGAAAACTTTTCCTCTAAGATCAGGAATAAGGCTACCCAGTTTCTCCAATTCTTTTCACCCTTGAGTAATTAGGCAAAAATAAATAAATAAACAAATAAGCAAAAGCATCCAAATTGAAAAGAAAAAAATTTATCTTTCTGCAGATGATATAATCTTATACGTTAAAAACACTATAAATTTCACTGAATTGTTTAATAAATGAATTCAGCTAAGTAACAGGATAACAAACTCAACACAAATGTTAATTGCATTTTATACACTGACAACACTTTGAAAAGGAAGTTACAAAAACAGTTTCATTCACAGTAGCATTGGAAAAAATAAAATACTTTTGAATTAACCAATTAAATGAGAGACTTATACAATGAAAACTGCTAAACATTGCTGAAAGAAACTAAAGAAGACATATGTACATACAAATGTTAATGAATTGGAAGGCTTAATATTGTTAAAATGTCAATACTACCTAAAGTAATCTATAGATTTAATACAAATGTTATTAAAATTCCAATGATGTCTTTTGCAGGAATAGAAAAAAGCTTCTAAAATGTATATGAAACTTCAAGATATCCTTAATAGCCTAATATGTCTTATAAAATAGAACTAAAGCTGGGAGACTGACACTTTCTGATATCAAAACTTACTGCGATGTCACAGTAATCAAAACATTGTGACACAGGCACAGAGACATACAAAAATAGAATAGATAATCATGAAATAAACTCTCAAAAATTTGTTAAGTGATTCTTGACAAGGAGGCCAATACCATTTAATTGAGAAAGGACAGTTTTTTTTAACAAATGCTGATGGAAAAATTAGATATTCACATGCAGAAGAATGAAGTTGGATCTTTACCTAACACCGTATACAAAAATTAACTCAAAATGGATCAAAGACCTAAATATCAAACCGAAAATGGTCAAAGTCTTAGAAGACAAAGAGCAAATGTTTCATTACATTGTATTTGGCAACAATTTGGGGGATGACACCAAAGTCACCGGGAACAATAACAAAATAGAAAAAGTAGACTTTATGAATCGTTTTTCAAATTGTGCATCAAAAGACATTGTCAACAGAGTAAAGAGGCAACCCATAGAATAGAAGAATATATTTTTAAATCATATAACTGATACAAATTAATATCTAGAATACATAGTTATCTCCTAAAATTCAATAACAATAAATGAATAACCTGATTAAAAAATGGGCAAAAGGCTTGACTAAACATTTCTCTAAAGAAGATATAAAATGGTCAACAAGCATATGAAAAGATGTTTAACATCACTAACGATGAGGGAAATGCAAATCAAAACTACAATGAGATACTACCTCACACCCATTAGGATGACTACTACCAAAATACCCAGAAAATAAGTGTTGCTAAAGGTGTAAAAAAAATTTAAACACTTGTGCACTGTTGGTAGGAATGAAAAATGGTATGGTCACCATGGAAAACAGTATGGTGGTTTCTAAAAATATTAAAAATAAAATTACTATATTATCCAGTAAATCCACTTCCAGGTATGTACTGAAACAAATTGAAAACAGGGTTCAAAGAGATATGTAAATAAATATGTTTATAGTAGCACTATTCATCAAAGCTAAAATGTGGAAGCAGCCCATGCATCCATTGACTCACGATTGGATAAGCAAAATATGGAATATACACCATGGAATATCATATATCCTTCAAAAGGGAGGAAATTCTGACATTTGAGGCAACATGGATTAATCTGGAAAACATTGTGCTAAGTGAAATAAACAAGTCATAAAAAGATTGATACTGTCTGATTCCACTTACATGAGGTGGTTAGAGTAGTCAAAATCATAGCAACGAAAAGTGAAATGGCGTTGCAAGAAGCTGCTGGGAATGGGGAATGGGAAGTCAATGTTTAATGGGTTTAGAGTTTCGGCTTAAAAGAAAAAGTTATGGAAATGGATGACGGTGATGTTTGTATAACATTATGAATGTATTTAATAACACAGAACTGTGTACTTTAAAGTGGATAAAATGATAAAGTTTTTGTTGCTTGTGTTTTATCATGATAAAAAATTCAAAAAAACAACATCGTCTATGAAAGTCCAAACAGAAGCTGTGAAATACATCTCTAAGCTAATATTATAGTAGTTTTTGACCATATTATTATATTTTATGTGAGCTTTGTTTAGGTTTGGCATGAATTATAACATTATGGGTTAGAATGGTATAAAATTACTAAACTTTGAGAATCACAACACTTCTAGACAAAGCATAACAATTGACTTGCTATCAAAATCTCAGAAAATCATTTGACCACCCATCTCCCTATTTTCTTATTCCCAAAAGAGGAATTATGGCACCTCTTCATAAGTATTTCACTGAGATTCCAAGTTGATCAACTTGGAAAATGGATTTCATTTTCAAATGCCTTGAAATATATAAAACAAGCGGACAGCAGTCAAATGTTATCAATGAAATGATAAGTGAAATTTTATAGAATGAATAAGCATACAAATATTATACTTATGAATAAGTATACAGATATGTTTCTCTCATTAAACTTAGAAAAACTTGTTTGTTCTTGCACATTAAGATTTATATGACAAGCTGACATTTAAATTTGTTTGAAATAACCTGGGTGTGGTGGCTCACGCCTGTAATCCCAGCACTTTGGGAGGCTGAGGCGGGCCAATCATGTGGTCAGGAGTTCAAGACCTGCCTGGGCAAGAACAGCCTGTCCAATATGGTGAAACGCTCTCTCCACTAAAAATACAAAAATTAGTCAGGTGTGGTGGCAGGCACCTGTAATACCAGAAACTCAGGAGGCTGCAGCAGGAGAATTGTTTGAACCCAGGCGATGGAGGTGGCAGTGAGCTAAAGATCACGCCATTGCACTCCAGCCTGGGTGACAGAGTGAGACTCTGACTCAAAAAAAAAAAAAATTGTTTAACATAAAACTACAGTGCACACATACACACACAGATACATTAAAAGATGTACTGTGGATTTACTTGACCTCACCAAAATTAATAAATAATTCACTATTATAAATTATTGATATCACATTACAAAGCTTATTCCAAACAATGAGAGAATTGCATTGATTTTAAAAAATTAAAATTAAAAGAAACATTTAAGAAATCTTGCAGGAAAACATGTTTCATTATTCGCTCCCTTTCCTATGGAGGCAAACAAATTGAATCAGGTAAATATGAGCTTATAGAAATGACTGCTTGAATGAAATGACATTTATAGCATTATATAGATTTGTTTGGTCATTAGTTTAAAAATGTTAATTTTTAAAACAGATTTTTAAAATTATTTGAACTTTATTGAACTTCTGAGTAATTGACTTCACAAATTAATGCATGATTGGTTTCAAGAGGAAATCAAGAAGGTACATACAGTGCTTCACAGGAGTCTAGAATTTATGCTAAAACAAAAAAGGAAAGAATCTTGCAACTTAACAAATGGACTGATATGGGCTGAATGTGTGTGTTCCCCCTAAATTCATACAATGAAGCCTAAATCCCTAATGCAGTGCAATTTGGAAGCGGGGTCTTTCAGAAGCACTTAGGACGTGAAGGTGCAGTGCTAATCATGGGATTAGTGTACTTGTAAGAAGAGAACTGAGAGAGATGATTTTAATCCCCCTCTCCACTACATGTGAGGACAAAATGAGAAGAAGCCTGTTTGCAAACCAGGAGGAGGGCCCAAACCAAACACCAAATCTGCCTGTGCCTTGATCTTGGACTTCTCAGCCTCCAGAACCACGAGAAATACATTTCTGTGGTTTAAGTCAACTAGTCTATGGTATCCTGTTATGATTACCTGAGCTAACTAAGTTACAAACCAAAGAACCTTTATACCCATTGATTTAATGCTTTTAAAGTCAGTTTAAACATTAATTTTTTAGTTGTGGCATCATAGTAAATATCCAATATGAACTTTATTTTTTAATCTAATTTAGAAAGAAATAATTGATATCATTTATCTGAGTTCAAAACAACTGGTTAGCTACATTGGTTATGTCCTAATAAATTTTACTTTATCAGGTAAGTATGTTTTCTCTTTTCCTACCATAGTCTAGAGGTCTAGAGTGTTTTTCACATTTCTGTGAGTGGATTCATGACTGGCATTCTCTTGTGGTAATTCTAATTATGGACATATTCTGATCAAGAGTTATCAGTTGAACAATCTTCATGCTATAGATAAGCCCTGAAGTTAGTGAGCTCCTGCATACGTCAACTGTTAATCTAAATGTTTTTGGTATTTCGTTTGTTTGTTTGTTTCATGTATCAGAAACAACATCTGTTCCAGAGGGCATTCCTCTTATATATTGAAAGTAAAATATATCCTTATGCTTCTATGAGCACTTAAACCCAAAATGCTCACAGACTGAAGAGAGAAACATTGAACAATCTAATAGAATGAGAGGACTAGAAGTCAAGGGTACACCAATCAAGAGTGTAACTTGGGGTAAGTCAATTTAATATTCTGGTTTTCAGGTTTTTTTTTTTTTTTTTTTTTGAGATGGAGTCTCGCTCTGTCCCCCAGGCTGGAGTGCAATGGCGCGATCTCGGCTCACTACAAGCTCCGCCTCCCGGGTTCACGCCATTCTCCTGCCTCAGCCTCCGGAGTAGCTGGGATTACAGGCGCCCGCCACCACGCCAAGCTAATTTTTTGTACTTTTAGTAGAGACAGGGTTTCGCCGTGTTAGCCAGGATGGTCTCGATCTCCTGACCTCGTGATCCACCCGCCTCGGCCTCCCAAAGTGCTGGAATTACAGGCGTGGGCCACTGTGCCCGGCCATGTTTTTTTTAATATCAGATAGAAGTGTTGGTCTCTGCTGAATCCTTTGAGGTACAGCTGCCAAACAGCGGAAGTACACTTATTCTGGGGAATAAAGTTGAACAAAATTAAGTTTGCATCTTTTTATCCTTTTCATAACCTTTTTTTTTTTTTTTTGGACAAAGTCTTGCTTTGTCTTAGGCTGGAGTACAGTGGCACGATCTCAACTCTCTGCAACCTCTGCCTTCCAGGTTTAAGCGATTCTCCTGCCTCATCCTTCCAAGTAGCTGGAACTACAGGTACATGCCACCATGGCTGGCTAATTTTTATATTTTCAGTAGAGACGGGGTTTCACCATGTTGCTCAGGCTGGTCTCAAACTCCTTACCTCAAGTGATCCGCCACCCACCTCAGCTTCCCAAAGTGCTGTGAGGCACTGTGCCAGGCCCCTTCTCATAACCTCTTAAAACAGATTGTGCTCTAGCAATCAGTGATTTTCTGTTTTTCTCAAAGAAGCAAAAAATGCTATTGAAATTTAAATCAAGAAAGGGAAAAAATTGGAGATAATTGTGGTGAAATCATGATGATAACTTAAGGTATTCAGGTTTTATTTTTTTTAAAATAAACAACTCTCTAGCCATGATTCAATTAATTATCATAATGTCCCCTTGAGGAAGTTAAGTTGCTGGCATTTTTTGATGAATAAAGATGCTATATTTTACTCTGAGAGGTATCTCTCACAGCTTTATTTTTAACATTAATTGCCCTTTGTCTAGAACATGGTAAAGTATTGCAATAAGAACCGCATATGTTCTTTTCATGTGGTCAAAAATATATTGTCTTCAGTTGTATTTTATGAATTTGATATATCAAGAAATGTAATTCTGTACTACAGTTTAGTGCATTCAAGCTCTTAGTTTTCCGAATAAATAAGAATTTAATAACTAAATTGACTTTACCAGCCTTCATGAGCTTATCGGCTCTTCCATTAATTTACTGTGTGTTGTTGCCCAAGTTCTTTAAGTTTTTTGTCCCTCATTTTTTCCTTTATAAAAGTTGATAATTAAATTACTCTGTTAATATTTTAATTTCTTAGATGCATTGTACAAACTTGAAATAATTTTATTGTCATTATGCCTAATACCAGTCTTTATCAGTTAAAAGGAAAAGTGTCAATGGAAACAATGACTAGATGTTTTATATTCCAATGTTCTAACACTTCCTTAAGTTTGCAGAAATGTCTGTGCAAAGCATATATCTCAATAGGTGTCACTTCCTTATTATTTTGTTTTCCATTGAAGAAGAGAATTATGGATAGGGCAAAAATAAAGTTTGAGACTTTCTTTAGAGGTTTTAGGTATATATAGATTCATAGAGTGCTAGAGCTGGAAATGACCCTGGTAATAATGTGGTCCTGCTCTCTCATTTTTCAATACATTAAAGCTGTGTAGTATAGTGATTAAGCAAAAGTATTTGGAGACAGATAGACCTGAGTTTGAATATTGACTCTACCACTGAAGAACTCTATAGACTTGGCCAAAACCTAGTCCCTCATCTTTTTAAGTTTTATAATTGAGTTATTTATTTCTAATTTGTCAAACCATTGGTGATAAACAAAGCAATACATTCAAAATACTTGTATGGAGAATAAAAGAGGGAAGAACAGGGGATTTAAAAGAAATAGAGTGGTGTGCTTCTTTTTTCACAGACCTACCAGAAGAGTTTTTTTTTGTTTTTTTTTTTTTCTGCTACTAATGTTCTTTGATTCAATTTTCCATTGCTCTTCTTTTTCTCCTCCTCTGGACTGGGCCATGGATAAGGCGTGCATAGGCATTGGCATGTGGATATGCCTACTCTGCCTCTGTATCTGTTAACTTCTATTGCAATAGTTTCCATTGAGAACTACAAAATGAACAAGTTTGGGGAGTGAGCCAATTTGATAAAGATCACTTTCTCTTCCTGTGTTGCTTAACGCCCCAGCAGAGTATGGCACTCAACTACTAATGTCTTCTTCATTAGTGCCATATTGTGTTGTAAATATCTCTATTAGCACTTCTTTTCCTGGATTCTAATTATCTGCTGATGTTTCTTTTCCCTAGACTGAGTTCCTTGAGGTCATAGGGTATATATTATTTTTTTCTTTTAAATTTCAGTATAGATTTAGGACATGATAAATGCTCATGATGAATGGATGAAGTTTACATTTCAGGTAAATAATGGAAAATATGTTTATAAAAAGGGGAAATACAGAAAACCTTGCATATGATGTGTATTGAATTGCAAATCAATCTATGAAGCTGTGAGAGCATGACATACATAATTTATGGTCATCATATTTGATAAGTTTGCGTGTGTTTAGCATGCCCCTGTCTATGCAGGCTCTCTTTTAAACTTAATGATTGCACTTGATATGAATATAAATATTTGCTTTTTTATATATATATTTTATTATTATACTTTAAGTTTTAGGGTACATGTGCACAATGTGCAGGTTAGTTACATATGTATACATGTGCCATGCTGGGGTGCTGCACCCATTAACTCGTCATTTAGCATTAGGTGTATCTCCTAAAGCTATCCCTCCCCTCTCCCCCCACCCCACAACAGTCCCCAGAGTGTGATGTTCCCTTCCTGTGTCCATGTGTTCTCACTGTTCAATTCCCACCTATGAGTGAGAATATGTGGTGTTTGGTTTTTTGTTCTTGCGATAGTTTACTGAGAATGATGATTTCCAATTTCATCCATGTCCCTACAAAGGACATGAACTCATCCTTTTTTATGGCTGCATAGTATTCCGTGGTGTATATGTGCCACATTTTCTTAATCCAGTCTATCATTGTTGGACATTTGGGTTGGTTCCAAGTCTTTGCTATTGTGAATAGTGCCGCAATAAACATACGTGTGCATGTGTCTTTATAGCAGCATGATTTATAGTCCTTTGGGTATATACCCAGTAATGGGATGGCTGGGTCAAATGGTATTTCTAGTTCTAGATCCCTGAGGAATCACCACACTGACTTCCACAATGGTTGAACTAGTTTACAGTCCCACCAACAGTGTAAAAGTGTTCCTATTTCTCCACATCCTCTCCAGCACCTGTTGTTTCCTGACTTTTTAATGATTGCCATTCTAACTGGTGTGAGATGGTATCTCATTGTGGTTTTGATTTGCATTTCTCTGATAGCCAGTGATGGTGAGCATTTTTTCATGTGTTTTTTGGCTGCATAAATGTCTTCTTTTGAGAAGTGTCTGTTCATGTCCTTCACCCACTTTTTGATGGGGTTGTTTGTTTTTTTCTTGTAAATTTGTTTGAGTTCATTGTAGATTCTGGATATTAGCCCTTTGTCAGATGAGTAGGTTGTGAAAATTTTCTCCCATTTTGCAGGTTGCCTGTTGACTCTGATGGTAGTTTCTTTTGCTGTGCAGAAGCTCTTTAGTTTAATTAGATCCCATTTGTCAATATTGGCTTTTGTTGCCATTGCTTTTGGTGTTTTGGACATGAAGTCCTTGCCCATGCCTATGTCCTGAATGGTAATGCCTAGGTTTTCTTCTAGGGTTTTTATGGTTTTAGGTCTAACGTTTAAGTCTTTAATCCATCTTGAATTAATTTTTGTATAAGGTGTAAGGAAGGGATCCAGTTTCAGCTTTCTACATATGGCTAGCCAGTTTTCCCAGCACCATTTATAAAGGGTACTCAATTAGGAAAAGAGGAGGTCAAATTGTCCCTGTTTGCAGATGATGTGATTGTATATCTAGAAAACCCCATTGTCTCAGCCCAAAATCTCCTTAAGCTGATAAGCAACTTCAGCAAAGTCTCAGGATGCAAAATCAATGTACAAAAATCACAAGCATTCTTATACACCAATAACAGGCAAACAGAGAGCCAAATCATGAGTGAACTCCCATTCACAATTGCTTCAAAGAGAATAAAATACCTAGGAATCCAACTTACAAGGGACGTGAAGGACCTCTTCAAGGAGAACTTCAAACCACTGCTCAATGAAATAAAAGAGGATACAAACAAATGGAAGAACATTCCATGCTCATGGGTAGGAAGAATCAATATCGTGAAAATGGCCATACTGCCCAAGGTAATTTATAGATTCAATGCCATCCCCATCAAGCTACCAATGACTTTCTTCACAGAATTGGAAAAAACTACTTTAAAGTTCATATGGAACCAAAAAAGAGCCCGCATCGCCAAGTCAATCCTAAGCCAAAAGAACAAAGCTGGAGGCATCACGCCACCTGACTTCAAACTATACTACATGGCTACAGTAACCAAAACAGCATGATACTGGTACCAAAACAGAGATATAGATCAATGGAACAGAACAGAGCCCTCAGAAATAACGCTGCATAACTACAACTATGTGCTCTTTGACAAACCTGAGAAAAACAAGCAATGGGGAAAGGATTCCCTATTTAATATTTGCTTAATATATGAAGAATGTGGCACTTTCTTTGACATTGATTTATCTATGGGTACTTTGGTTTAAAAAAACTACATACTTCATCTCAATTGCTATTCCCAATGTGCTATAGTTTATTGAGCTCTTAATATGTGTCAGGCACTATAAAAGAATCTCTGTATTTTACATTTTAATCCTTGCAATTATAATAAAGGAGTTTTGGTATCCTTATTTTTCAACCTAGTACATTGAAGCATTCTGGTGATAAATGGCAATACTAAATTCATAGATAATTTTACAAATGTGTTAGTGAGTTTTTTTCTCCAATGTGACCTGCTAATGAGTTTCCTAATGGTCTGATCTAAATCTGTTTTTGATAATAACAATGAGATAAGAGCCAGTAGATGGACAATTACTAGAAAGATGAAACAGTATGAATAGTGCATATACTAGATAAAGACCCATTTGGATTGTCTGTGGGGCAATAGCAAGAGTACTCCACCTTCATCTACTCTCCCCTACATATTGCTTCTCAATATCTAAAATAGACTCATAAGCAGAAAGAGGGTGCATGATTCAATGAGGGAAATTTGTTCTTAAGAGAGTACTGCTACAAATTCGCTAACATAAACAAGTGCCTTATGTTCAAGTAATGCTTCTCAGTATTCTAAGCCCCTTCTCACAAACGAATTTGTAATGCATAGGATAATTGAGAAAAGCAACAAAGCATTCTAGTGCAGACACAAGACAGACTTGGATTCAAATTCTGGCTCTCCCCTTCTTTGTTGACTGTGAGCAAGTCATGTGATCTGTCTCTTTGTCTTTAAAGTGTGAGGCAAGTATCTTAATGATATATTCCTCAACAGGCTTTATAAAAGCAAACATATTATATGAGTTGTAATAACCCATTCAAGTAGGCAAAAGTGGTATTTTGGGTCCACTAGAGATGAAAAAAATCTTTGAGAAAGTAAATGAGATGTATTTAAAATAAACATGGAGTATCTATAATATACCAGATACTGCATTAGGCACTAGAGCAGTAAAGAAAAATAAATCCCAATGTGTAGTGTTCAGGTATCTCTAATTGTCACTGGGCTAATAAGAGGTAGTTCTGACACAGCAAATAATAACTTTTTTCCAACATGTTATATGTCAGAGGCTATTTTACATACTTACATATATTTATTCATTTAATTCTCACGACAGCCCACTAAGCTAAGAAGTATAACTTTTTTTCCAACTTGTTATATGTCAGAGGCTATTTTATATACTTATATATATTTATTCATTTAATTCTCACAACAGCCCAATAAGCTAAGAAGTATTAATTGATGGTGCAAAAGTAATTTCGGTTTTTGCCATTATTTTTAATGGCAAAAAACCGCAATTATTTTTGCACCAATCTAATATTATTATCACTAGTTTATAGATGAGAAAACCATGGTTAGTAGAGTTTATGTAACTTGTCTAAGATGGCGTATTTAGAAAGTATTTGGGTGTTTAAGACCATCTTTATAGCCCTTGCTCACTGCTATGAAATGTTACCTCTTTTGTGTTATTTCCACTCTCGCATAACTTCTTGAAGAAAGGAGATAATAACTTATGATCAAGATGTCATGGGTGAATATATGTGCATACTTCTTTACTCAAAATACATAGAAATACCATGCTTTTTCAAAAAATAAATAAGTAAATAGTCATATTGAAAAAGAGAGAGAAAAAAACTTTCCATATATCAGCAAGCCCTTAGTAATAAGAGGGTATTGAAGTCCAGCGGTGGCTTAGAGTGGGAATCACATTCAATCATTTGAATATTTCTGCAGAAACTTGGGCCACCTAGTACAACAGCAGAATCTACAGCTGCACATAGCCAAGGTCAGGAGCAATGCTCCTAACCACTGACCATGGTTGGAATAGCAACAGCTGCATGTCCAATTTTGAAAACCAGAAAATTTCTAGTTGTCTGGGCCTCTGTAAAACAGAAAATTACCTATGCTATTTAGGGAAACAGTACAAAGTTTTCTAGAAGAAAAAAATAAGTTCTGGACCTTTTCTGACCATGATATATTATGCAATTAACACCACCCATCTGAGCCTCAGTTTCCTCATTTGTACAATATGCATCAATGCAATCTACTTGATAGAAATGTTGTAAAGATTAAACCAAGTAATATATATAAACATGGAAAAATTTCAGACACATGCTAAATCACAAGTTAATTTATTAACATTAAGAATAAACTACTTTCATTGACTTTAATAATTTTAGTAGAAATATTTTAAAAGGTGTCACTATTCTGACATTTTAAATGTCACTGAAAACTCTTTATAAAATTATTATAAAATAATATAAATTTAGATTCTAAAAGGATTTTGGAAGTCATTAAATCAAACTCCCAAAGTATAAAGATATAGGGTTGAAGGCCCTGAGAAGTAAGTGATTCCCTGTGGATTTCCTGATCCAGACTGAGGATCTATTACAGTGCACTGATGGCATCAGGCCATTAAGACTGCACCATTTTACTTTTATAATGGAGGGCTGTATGCCCCCAATGCAAAAATGAGTCCATAATTTTGAACCTGATGTTTATATTCTTTTGTCTTACTACTTCTCATACGCTGTCATTTCTACTTCTGCTCTGATTCTAAAGCCCCCCTATTTCTTTATATTTTATTCCTCTTATCCAGTTTGGGCTAAGAAACAAATAAACTATCTGAACTAGATTTAATATATGAGTGAGTAATCTTTGAATGAGGATGTAGGGACTACTGTGAATAAAATGCTTGTGTTTCAGTTCTTTTTTTTTTTTTTGGTTTATTTATTTTGACTATGTTCTACAGTTGGAGATGGTGGCAAGAGTTGGGAAGATTCTGGCCTGAGTATAACATAATTGGTTTTCTGAGAAATTAAGAAAAGTGAACTGCAAATGAAAGTGAGGGATTGCTACATAAACATTTGGATAAATGTTAAGGTTAGACATTGAAAACAAGTTAATAAACCACCACCAAAACAAGAAGAAGAAATAATCCCAGAATAGTAGCAAAATTATGGGATTTTAATGTGTGCAATTAGAACAAAAATGTAGAAGTTATGCAAGAACATAGTCTTGTCAATTTATTTTGTAATCACTGAAAAGAAAGCAATCTAATTTAAGAAATGCTAAGAATAGATATGTGCATATTATCTTTCTGACTCTGTATGTAAAGAGTCTAGTTTTGAAGAATCCCATTCAAACAAGCATTATGTAATTGGAGAAATATGCTCAGGTTTTCCCTCAGTATTTACTCAAATGCTCACTAACACATGCAGTCAGAAAGATGAATGAAACCCAGGTTCTGGAAGATTTAAAACAATAATTGTTATCGATTTTTCTGGAACAGAAAGCACTAGACTGCCAAAATTGTGGGCTAAGGACATTATTAAACAATGAAACATAATCAAATAGTGAAATTTTGTGAGAAGCTCTTTAAAATGTACCCATTTGGTTACTAGCATTGCACACAACTCAACCATTTCAGCAGTGATTTGGGTTTTTGCTTTGCTTTGTTTCTGGTATAATAGCAGTTGTTTTATTTTTGTATTAGCTCATTTTTATTTTAAGCAAGTTCATTCATGATTACATATTTCACAAATCTGACACGAAATGCTTCTAATCTTTATTGTATCAATTGCGTATCAATGCTTAATGCTAGGATATAGGATGAATGATGATGATATTGTCAGTAATTATTACATATAGCAAACACTGTTCTAAGGAATTTACATAATAAATTCATTTGATGTAGCATATGGAAATGAATTTTTAACCAGTAAGTACTTTATGACAAAAAGTGTGTCTTCTCCTGTATGGCTCTTACAACAGATTATGGCTCCTGAAATTCAACCATTAAGGAAGCATTTTAAAAGATTTACACTGGATGCCCAAATAGTTCAGGTCTCAGGGTGTGTTTGTGTTTAAGGTATTGTCTCTTATAGGTGCTTCTATAGTTTACTTTGTAATGCTGGTGCTGATCTGCACAGCTTTCATTTCTCCTTTTCAGATGCTTCCTACTCAGTTCTGAGAATAGAAGGCAGGATAGGGAGATAAAAAGGCAGGAGAAAAAGGGAAGAAAAGACTTCTTTGATTCATCCTAATGCTGTTCCTGCATGAGGACCGTCCTGATAATGGCCCTCCATCCCGGCAGCAGCAGTTGTTTCGGGCTCTAAATTCTTATTATATTTCCAGGATTAGCCTCATTAGGCTAATACAGATATTACTTCTTTCTCTTTTTTTTTTTTTTTTTTTGAGACGGAGTCTTGCTCAGTCCCAGAGTGCAGTGGCACCATCTCGACTCACTGCAAGCTCCGCCTCCCGGGTTCACGCCATTCTCCTGCCTCAGCCTCCCGGGTAGCTGGGACTACAGGCTCCCGCCACCATGCCTGGATAATTTTTTGTATTTTTAGTAGAGACGGGGTTTCACTATGTTATCCAGGATGGTTTCGATCTCTTGACCTCGTGATCCACCCACCTCAGCCTCCCAAAGTGATGGGATTACAGGCGTGAGCCACCAGGCCCCCGGCCATTACTTCTTTCTTAAAGGTTTGGGCCCCAGCTTCTTGGGGATCTTCCCCCAAGAAGATAATCCCAACTCCTTTCTTCTCTTGTGCCCCAGTCTTAAGAACGGTAGCTATTTTTCTGTCTTGAATGCACTTGATACCAAGAGATTCTAGGATATATTTGGTCATGTCTATGGCTTTTAATGAAATACTGACTTCCTTGCAAATGGGAAATGAGATACTAGTAATTCATGACATCAAGTCACATCAGTTAATTAAAATCACTTCTAGTTTATTATAGTGCAGTAAAAGACACTAAGTCTTCTACACTTAATTATTATAGCAGTTATGATGACTACAAAAACTGTGGGTGGGATGTCCTCTTCTGACTGGAGAATCTACAGACAGAGAAGTGTGAGTTTGGCACTTTTAGTTCTCAGTTTGAATGAAAAAAGAACAAAAGCGCTCCTATGGCAGCCAAAATAATTTCTTAGTTTTTGTAGCTGCAGGACTGTCTTCTCTTTAAAAAGCAGATGCATATTTTATTTGTGCTAATTGTAGAATTCCAATATAAATTGAAATCTTGCACTTGCTATGCCACTTAGGAAAATTTCAGGACCTGAATTGTGAAGAACAATGAGGCTGAAACTTGTATGATGACATCTGAGTGGACTCAGTTAATACTGAGAATCTTACCACTCAAGAATTTCTAAGATTTTCTTGCTAGTGAAAGGAATCCCTCTTCCTGGATCTGACAAGACTATGGATTAAGACCCTTCAGTAACTCTGCCAGGTAAAGAACTTCAATTCAACCAGCTAAGATACTAAGAGAAAAGGCTAGTGGAAGAAGGAATTTGTAAATATCAACTACAGCCATGAAGACTATAGCGCCTATACAAATCTTACTCTTCACTGATTATCCTTTTTATAGATAAAGCTATATATGCACAATTGTCAAATAGATATTTAGATATATTTGCCTTTGCATATATTAAAAGGTCTCATTTTTTTATCCCCCTTTTGCTGTCACCTTACTATTTTATATAAAGTTTTTTTATCTTAGATATTTTATACAGTTTGTCTGTGTCCCCTCCCAAATCTGTTCTTGAATTGTAGCTCCCATAATTCCCACGTGTTGTGGGAGGGACTTGGTGGGAGGTAATTTAATTATGGGGGCAGGTCTTTCCTGTGCTGTTTTCATGATAGTGAGTAAATCTCATGAGATCTGACAGTTTTATAGAGGCGAGTTCCCCTACACAAGCTCTCTCTTGCCTGCTGCCATGGAAGATGTCCCTTGATCTTCCACCATGATTGGGAGGCCCTCCAGCCATGTGGTACTGTGAGTCAATTAAATCTCTTTCCTTTATAAATTACTCAGTCTATGATATGCCTTTATTAGCAGCATGTGAACAGACTAATACAATATTTTGTAATTGAGTCTTTAGGAAACAGAATATTCTGGTGGGACTGTGGTTGTCAAAGAGTAAATAGCATCACTCAGAAATAGATGTGATGATTGCCTAGAGATGGATACTGTAACTGTTGGGATTTTTGTATACCTCCTTTTTGGACAAATGATGAGAGCATATTTGTTTGTATGAAGGATACTTGCATCTTATTGCTGTGAAACAGTATAAATATTAATATATACAAAAGTGTGTGTATGGTACTGAATAAACAAAGGGGCAAGCTGTGCTAGTTAGTAAGCAATTATCTGTCAGCTCTATATCCAACCTCTATACTCTATTTCTTGATGCCTGGGCTGGAACTCTGTACTTTTCATTTTTTCTCTGACACAAGGATTTCTGTGAGGTTCTGCTGATAGCAGAGGAGTGAGACAGAAAGACAGGAGGAAAAGGAAAGGAATTTTATCTCTTTCATTGACTTGCTTTTTCTCTCGATGTTACCTTTCACCTTGTGACAACAGTTGGTTTCAGTCTCCAGTTTTTTTCATTCCCAGAACCAGCCTCATTGTGTCCTCCCAGAGTTAACAGTTTCAGCCAAGCAGCCCTTCTTCAAGAAGCTGAGCCCAAATATACAATTGTTCTCCTTCAGGCTCCTGAGATTTCAGCAGCCATGGACAAACCACAGAGATCTGAGACTTTGCTCTGATGAGCCCCTCCTCAGAGGGAATAGAATAAATAGAATCTTATGTGGTGTTTTCTAAATTGTTTTCTGGAAAATGCCACTCCCAGGATTTCCTCCGTGCAAAATGATACTTAGAGTTATATGAATTTGGGAAATGTTACAGTATTAGAGATTTATAGTGCACATAAGTATCATCATGGCTGTGAGAAGTCCAGCAGAAAAGACATTTGTCTCACCTTGACTCAACATCTCTCCTCCAGTTTTTTAACTAAGGAAACTGTTTTATTTTCACTTAACCACTATTACCATCCCATGACATACATTGAGAAACAGCATTCTCTGGAATCCTGAGAATTTGAAAGTTTTATAATTGTATAAAGTTTTGTTCTTGAAAGATCCCTTCGTAGGGGAGGAACATAAGGTCTATAATTATTTACTTGATTTTATCTATCTGTTCCAGCTCTAAGCATAAATGCTGACTGAGCGTAATGAGTGAGATGTAGAATGAATGTTGAGGAGGGGCACAGGTGATGTCAGAACCCCAGGACAATTATTACAAAAAGTGGCATACAAGTGAAACAATGCTAGAGAATAGAAGAAGGGATAAAAGAATAGGGTCATATCATATTAGATGAGGACATCTATAGGTATGGTTAAATGAAAAAGCTAGGGATTCACATCGCTTGGGTTTGATTATCAGCTATAGCACTTGAGTGCTCTTTGATTTTGAACAAAATTATTCATCTTCTTTGAGCCTTAGTTTCTTCATCTTTAAATGGAGATAATAGCAGTATATTCTTTACAGGTTTGTGAGGTAGATTAAATGAGACCTAGCATATAAGATGATTAACACCCACCTGACATTTAATTATTTAATATACCCTGTATAATTATACCAATTTTATTTAGACAGAAAATAATAATTATGAAACAAACGTACATGGTTCAAAATGAAAGGGTCTTTGAAGAGCATCTAATCAGCTCCCTCATTCTATAGATGAGAATAAAGCTGAGTCTCCCCAAAACAAAGATATTGGGCCAAGGAGCTAAATGATACAGAAGTTGCACAGAGACCTCAGTCTCCTCACACTTAGTAGAGTGCTGTTTCAATTAAACTTCAAGTTGTTTAGCTGTAGTATGTTTGCATTTTTCTGGGTAAAAATAAGACAGTAGTAGTATTCAAATTTTTTTTTCTGGGTTCTGGTCTCAAGGTGATCTCTATGATGTTTAAGACCCAGGAACATCTAATGAGGGGTTTGTCCATTTCAACAAATCACACCACATGCTTTCTCCTACTCTTAGTTCCTACTTCCCTATAAGAATTCTGTGTGGGAGAAATACTGTTAGAGTGAAGCATCAGGAAAGAACGGGAGTAATGGAAAGGGAGAAGAGTAGTCTTATTCATTTTTCATTGTTGATTGAGCAGGAATAGAGGAAAGATTAACTATTTGAATATAAATTCAAATCTTTTATCAGCACTAGGTAACTGAGCCTGGTTGTCCCATTTCTCCTACCTCTCACCAGGGGCAATAACATTGGGGTAGAGGTAACCACTTCACTTCTTCACACCTAAAGAAGGTTTCTCTCTAGTTGTATGAGACAGATCCAGAGAACCATGTTTATTGTTGTTTTATTTAGTGTTATAATTGGAAATGTGGAAAACACAAGAGATAACCATAGTCATAATATACAAGGCTTCCTTATAATGAGTACTTTTTTCTACAACCTCATAGAATTATGGTAAGTGTATTATTTTAAAAGGAGAATTTAGTAGGATAAAACACACTGAATTTTAGTCCAACTACAGCTATGTACATATGCATACATAATTTATGAGCTATGTATAATTTATATGTATACAAACACCACATTTTATTGAGGTAAAAGAGCACAGCGAGGTTAAAAACAAATGGCTAAGCTCAATGTAGGCTTTACAATGCCACTGAAAGCCATTTTACTAGCATAAAGGCCTCCAACATGCTGGTATTAACCTACTGATAAATATTTAGACTGTATTTATATTTTGCCCTCTCGGGAACTAAGCCAAAATAAACATATTTTAAGGCAACCTTTGGAAGTGTCAGCATTTCTTATTTTATCTGCCTTGTGGTAAATGTTATTTACAGTGACAATTAAAAATACTGAACAATGGAAGACAAAAGTTGACAAATTCATCTTGAACCCATTTCATCCTCATAAAGTTTTTCTCTAACATACAGAAAAGTCATATTTTTCAGCAATCTTCAACTTTCTATTTTGAGGAGTAGGATTATTGCTTTTTTGCCCACACATGCTTACGGAAGCTGCGTTACAGATTTCCAATTTGATTTCATGTTCTGAGAAGCATCTACACAAGTCTCAATGCTATTTTTTAAGAAAACATAGGAAACAGAAAACAAGAACTTATAGAATTCAGGTTGTCCTGGCCGCAAGCTATTCAACACTGCTACTGACTTCCATTGTATCTTTGGAAAGATAAACTACCCAGTACACAAGGTTGAATCCTGCAAATGCAACTGGGAAGAGAATTCGAGAATACTGGTCTATTTTACTGGTGCCTCCAAAGGCTGGCGAGAGTGGTGGGGGTGTGACAGGTGTTGATTGTAAGATGGGCGCTCTCGTGAGCACTTTATTGGCCTCGGAAGATGAAACTATTGGCAAAGACAGAGAAGTGATCCTTTTCTTCAGATGATATTTGGAGTCAGGATGCTGTGGAAAAAAGACAAATATTAAGCCCAAATGAAAGAATAGATATTGCTTAATTGCTTATTTATTCACTCTTTCACCATTGACAAATATTTATTGACGACTTACTTTCTATGTAAGGTCAAACATCAATGAATTCTTAATAGTATTTGTTGGTGTTACTTTTCCAAGTAAGGCTTAAAATACATTGTAAAATAATTTACTTGCTTCCATCTGACATTCTATTACTCAATACATCAGCAAACAACACAAAGCATGTTTCATGTCATAGAACTACGGTAAGCATTGTATCCTTAGGGAAAGACGAGCCAGGTTGCAGAGGCCTAGCCACTCCTGGTTGTGCATTAGTCTGTAGGGCAATGGGTTTGGGCAATAGTGTGTATTGGGAGGAGGGGTGAATTCCAATTTGGAATATGTGGACAATTAGTACAAAAAAATTACAGCCTGGTTTATTGACGCCATTCTTCTGTACACATTCCCAGCCTACATTCTCATCTTTGCACACTCATAAGCTTGAATCAGCTATGATTTAAGGATTTAAAAAATAAATAAAATTAGCCTATGTATGCCAAAGGCCAGTGACAAAGAATAAATATCCTTACATTGAGTAGGATGACTGTTCATACCTTGAAATATAGCTGCCTCTTAGCTCAGAATTTCTATATTGTACACTCCTTACTTCCCGCTCAGAACTTTCTAACTGGTCTTTCTCTATCTTCAGTCACTAAAAATGATTCATTTACTAAACTCAGACTTGTTATATGCTCCTTTCTATCTCTAAACCTCCTGTCTCACTGAAATCATGACACAATCAACTATAGTCTTGAATGGGATGTTTAACACAATCACTGGCAAGTGAGGCTAGGGTCCAGATAGGGGAAATGCCTTCTCCATGATGGCAGGGCTAGCAATAAACTCCAATGGTCAATTTCAGTGCCTGTTTCATTCCAACATTTTTCTCATCTTTATTCTAAAGTATTGGGCCTAGTTCAGAGACTCTGATTCTGTTTGATTTAGATTCCTTTCATGCCGTTGGTGTCTAGGGGGCCCTCCTCTGATTCCTATCTTTTCTTGTCTGCATCCTGTAACAAACACCCTCCTTGTGGCTAGCTTGTCTTTGCTGGGCCTCTGCCTTCAAACACTTGCTGTGCATTACCCCTGATATTGTAAAATGGCCTTGTTTCCTTGCTGGCAGCAAAATCACCACTTTGCTGCCTGGCAGGGTATGTGACCCACGTGGGCAAACTCCCGTGGCTTTAGCCAGCAACACTGCGGCAACAGTATAAGACAGCTTCCTCCCCTGTGCTGGTTGAGCCACAGGACCAAAATGACCTGCCGATGTGGTGACATTTGGACTAAAGGGACAACAACTCCCAAAACTTCTTTTCTATATTCTCCTCTTGATTTTGCTGTTTGATTTGCCATGAAACTTACTGGGTATCTAAATAATAATAGTTATTGCAGAGAGCTTAAATTCACTGTTTTTAGGGGCCATGGAGAAATGTGTTTCTTTACCAAAAGCAAAAACAAATGGTGTAGTCAAGATTTGATTTGAAAAAACCACAGTGAATTCCAAGCAAGGGCTATCTTTCTTATTATCTATTGGCCCAGTACTGTGGTACTCTGGACAGAATTAAATTAGTCATAGGTCTTAGAGGTAGAAGAGAGTTTAAGATATTAGAAGGGCTAGTATGCTGCTCTTGAAGAGGAGATGAGGGAAACTTTCTATTAAAAATAGATGGGCTGTGCATGGTGGCTGATGCTTGTAATCCCAGCTTTGGGAGGCGGAGGTGGGTGGATCACAACATCAGGAGTTCAAGACCAGCCTGGCCAACATGGTGAAACCCCGTCTCTATTAGAAATACAAAAATTAGCTGGTATGGTGGCCACTGCACTTCAGCCTGGGGACAGAGCAAGACTGCATTAAAAAAAAAAAAAAAAAAGATGACAGCTGAGGACTACTATGCCCAGGATCACCAGGCTGTGTGTGGATAGAAGCAGAGTAACTGTCTCAGTGCATGCTGCCTCTCCTAGAGAACACAGAACCATTTTCAAGAATTTTCTATCATGTTTCTCAGACTCTAAATTTTCACCTATTAAATATAGTATTAAAATATTCTCTACCTGAAAGAGCAAAAGGTGTCACTGTTTCACCCTCTAAAAAGAGCCATCCTCCTCCCACATATGGAACACTAAAATACTTTCCTCTAGCAAACATTTATGAGAATCATGATAGAGTAGAAAGAAGCCAGCCTTCAGAGCAGATTTTCTTTCTACACTCATTTTGACTTTTAACAGCATGCATTATCTGTCTGAAACATGTTTTTCTTTCTATTTTAGGTAGAAAGAGGGAAGACATGCCTAGTTGTTTGGAATAAAGCAGTGATTATAAAACATTAAATACCATAAAAATGTAAAGCCTTGCTTATTCTCCCCGTTTTTTAGAGATGTGGTGGGGGCAGTCATTTGTGAATCTGTGCATTGTCACAATGTCACAAAAGACTGAATGAGGATTCCCAAATAATTATGGTCCGGAAGTCAGAAGTACCATTCAGAACCAAACACCACAAAAAATTTGTAGTAAAATGGATACTGTAATTTTACCTA
Source organism: Homo sapiens (assembly GCF_000001405.40). Taxonomy (NCBI): domain Eukaryota; kingdom Metazoa; phylum Chordata; class Mammalia; order Primates; family Hominidae; genus Homo; species Homo sapiens. The sequence goes on along the minus strand of NC_000005.10, from coordinate 161,698,893 downwards.
AATTAAAAAATTAAAATTAAATTATATTGAAATTAAAGATTTCCTACATTAGCATTCCCTTTTGCCTCATCTACTTCCCCAAACAATCTCTGTGGAGGGTTTTCTAGGAGTTAAGAGAACAAGGAGAGTTGGAAATCCCTAGATTACAGTTTCATAGCTACTAATTGCGTGCAATATAATTTAAACACCTCCTAGGTGCTATAGGCTCTAATTCTCTCTCAGCTTCAAGTTTCTGTGAAGGTAGGGACAAATATTACTTAACAAGTAACTTTTTTCCTATGTTTTTAAGAATTTAAGAAAAAGGCATGATTTAAAGATATATACACAAACATATATATGTGTATATATATACACATATACATATGTACATATTTTTTTGCTCAGGAATCTTAGCTATATCTATTTTTTAAATCATTTTCAAAATATGTCTGCTTCTCATTCTCACCACTCACCTATCTTTATTTCTTCTTTGTCTGAAATAACATCCACCTGCCACCCATTTTTATCTTTCCCTCATATCTTTTGCTACCAAACTCATTAACACCTACCATCACTGATTTCTCCAGCCTTATGCATTTTTCTGCCTAGTTATTATGACTCTTGTAGATATTCTTATTTTCTGTTTTGTAGGTATAATTATTTTTGTTGTGGCTTATCTCCTTTCCTAGCATGGAAACTCTTTAATGGTAGAAGGCACATTATTCATATGTATGAGCATTCCACAGTGCCTAGCAAGTATTTAAAACACAGTATTTCTTTAATAAACAAATGCCGAATCAACAAATGAAAAAAATCTAAACATTTCCCAAGATTTGTTGGAGGAAGTAGGCAAAGAGGGGGATGAAAAGTTTTATGATTATGTTACATTGTATTTTAATGCACTTTTATATTACATTATAAGTACCGGTTCTAAATGTTTATTGTTGACTAGCATTACAAGGCAATTTTCAAATATTATTTCACGAATTTCTTCAAAAAATCCACAATGTCATATTATCTTCATTTGATAGATGAGCAAACGTAGGCTTAAGCAGGAAGCTCACAAAGATAATGAGTGGCAGGACCTGAATTCAATTTCCCTCTGATGCCACAGACCGCGCTCTTAACAATTATTATGCTATTCTTCCTATCAGCTTTAGCGTTTTGGGCACAGTGTCTGAAGCTCAGAACTACTGATCTTTTGGGGCCAATCACTCTTTGTTATGGAGGACCATCCTCTGTGTCCTGGGATGTAGAGCAGCATCCCTGGCCTCTACCAACATGATACCATTAGCCACCTCCACCTCAAGTTGTATCTCCAGACATTGCCCAATGTCTCTTGGGGGAAATAGCTCCCCATAGGAAATCACTGGCTTAGAGTCACAAGTGTCCCACTGCCCGGGAGTGATTGGGGAAATTTCTACAGGCAGCAAATATGATAGGCTAAAGGAAATGCAAGAGGCCTGGCTACTCTACATCTGGATAATCAGCTGCTAAATAACTGGCAATTGACAGAACAAGGAGATTGGACATCAGTTTAGAAGGAACACGCTGAATTTCTGAAATGAAAAGAAAGCAAATTTTGTGAGCCGTTTAAGCTACAGGTTTGCTTCAGTCCCTTCCTGCTCTATTGTAAGCATAGCAGCTTCAGCTGATGGTAAAATAGGCTTTTGTCAGAGTCCAGATGAGGGCTCAGCTTGGGGCTGTCACTGTTTTGAGTGGAACGCCTGTGGTTTTGAATTTTTGCAGGGCTCCCCTGCTGCTGAGTGCCATCCTGCTTTAGGTATTTATAGAGCGCTGCTTTGTTTCAAGTAATGTCATATTGCAAAGGTACTTTAAGTCAAACTGGACTTTATGACAATCAACTATTTGATAGAGGGAAAAGATGTTTAGGAAGTATTTAGACAGATTTTTATATGTAATTCAATGAGTCTCAGTAGGTCTGAGAGGTAACCTATCACCCCCACCATTTAAAACGATATTCTAACCAGGGCTGCCTTACTGAAGGGATCAACCAAGCATTTGTTTTTAGAAAGAGCAAAGAGGGACAACACAGATGAGAGAAAATATTTTTTTGAAAACAGTATTGATAGTTTGCAAAAGTCATCATATTAATCGTTATGGGGAAAATTAGAACTCTGTTGGGTTTTCCTGTGTTTGTGTTTCAGCTGGTAGAGTTGAAAACAGACACAACTCCAGAATTTCTACAGACACACAGCTTATTGGCAGCAATATATTGAATAATTGATCCACGGTGCTAGGGAACATCTCTAGAAAACATATCAGAATGTTTGGAGAGTTCATAATAAAATATTGGGTGGGGATTTGATAGAAGGTATGGGGAAGGGGCTAACCACCTACAACCCTCGTCTAATCCATCCTGCCTTCCCCATAAATCATACAATGGCACAACCAAGAAGGGCACTGTGATCTTTCTGGCACATAGAGTCTTTAATGGTCTTAATTCAGTCCTTAATTGTAGGGAGGAATGACAGTACTCAAAAAAAATCAGCTCCAGCCTGGGCGACAGAGCAAGACTCCGTTTCAAAAAAAAAAAAAAAAATCTGTGCAATATTTGGAGTAGGCAAGGTAAACCTTTCAGTATTCTATTCTTCACATCTCTCTACATAGATGAAAGCAGCATGGTAATGGCCCAGTGCACCTTACCACCTTAAAAAGGAGCACAGGAAGGGTATATAACTTATTTCCCTCTCTATGCCCAAGTTTGTAGCAACTGGTTTAGAGTTTCTAGCACAGAGCCAGGCTAATTTCTTTTTTGTTCTTAGCTTAGACATCACTCTGCTAGAAACGAAAACCTCTCCAGACTGAGTTAGACACTTTTGCATGGCTCTTCTGCAGCTCACTATACATCTCTAATGACGGACTTTATTCCAAGGTATTATTAAGGCTCATTGATCTCTCTCACTTCCTGCTGGACAAGAAGCTCCATGAGGGAAGAGGCCCTCTGATATCACTCACTAATATATCCTCAGCACTCTACAAAAGGCCTGGCACATAAAGGCACTTATCAAATATATATGGTATGAATAATTCAACGAATGCATAAATAGTCAATAAATAGGTGCCAGATGGAAAGAAAAAAAAAGAAATGAATAAATAATGCAATCAACATAAATATAGTAATTGTCCTGACTAATGAAATTTTGGTTAATTTTATGTTATATAATTTACAAAAGGCATCACACCCATGTAAAGAAGAGAAGCTACATTGAGAGTAATGACACTGCTCAAAGGATTGCAGATGGAATGGGTGAGTGATTGACTGTCAGGAACATAGTGATAAGGGCTTAGGCCTTTAAAATAACAAGGAAACTAGCAAACTATGCAAAAACAAATCAAGGACCAAAGTTGGTCTTACACACAGTATAGGTACAGGTATACTCCAGACATGTTAATAGGCTCTGAAACTCATGAAGATATAAGTAACTCTCTAATATTAAGGTAGCATGCTAGATAAAAACAATAAGAAAAAATCACCATATAAGCGGGAAAAACACTGTTGACAATTTCTTTTCCAGAAATAAATAATAAAAAATAAAATATCCAATTCCATATGTCTTAAAAACAGAAAGATAATTAGTCTATAGAGCATTTCTGAAGATTTAGCTTTAAGGTGCCTTTTTGGGTTTGAGATCTAGATTTTAAATGCTTGAGTTTCTCCATTACTATCATGTTTTAAGGTCAGAATCAAAGTGATAAAATGAATAAATTTTTACCCACATTCACTGTAAGTAGTTTCTTGTGAAAAGCAATGAACATATTAAAATATACAACATAGAATCACATGAAATATCCAAGCACTTAATTTCATTTCAACTTCACCACATTAGTTTGCTGTTTCAATGTCAAACTTATTCAAATAATGTTGTTTTGATTACAACTGAATAGATATTTTTAAATGTCATGGTATTTGGGAGAAAATGTCTTGCAATCAAAATATACCATTGTGTAGTATAAATTGCAAATGTGTAATTTATGTTTGTTCCTCTATATCATATAAGACAACTTGCCAAGGTTTGACACGAACAAATGTAATGCAAATGTCCTATGTAATCACCTATATTTAGTTTTGATACCTTCAAGGTTTACATTGTTTGATTTGGTCATTGTTGTTTTTATGTTTATTTTTACACTTCAGCCTTTTAGAATCAAAATTTCCCTATGTGTTGCTTTAAAACATTTTAAGTAAAACCAGGTTCAGAAATATAATTTTTCACAAGAAAAAATAAATGCTACCTGCAGGAAAAAAGTACTTGGAGATAATTTACATACCATTTTTTAAAATCTAGCTTCCCAGAGGACCTACTCATTATATGTTACTATTTTAGGTTTATAGGAGACAGTTTATATCAAAACCTGAGATCTTAAATTCCATCTTAAATTAATAAATTATATCTTTAAAATAATAGCCTGAGGGGGTGATTACGTTTTCTCCAAGGATTTGAAATCATCCTCTTCTCAGTACTGCATATTTCAAAAAAGGTAAAGCAAAAAATTGGTCTTTGTTTTTATTTCAATATCTGATCTATGAGCATATTCAAAATGGATCCTTTTTTTTCTGTTTTTGACGATCTTTTTTTTTTTCACTCTTACTACTTTACTCAAATAAGAAACTGGTAAGCTGAATCCTGATAAGCACTTTTTTCATTTATAGACATATATTAATATATAGATGACCTATGGACAATATATAGATTATATACTTATATGCATACGGATACCTTGTAACAGAATCACTTATTTCTACTAATATGAAAAAATTCTCAGAAACATTTGGAATTTATCATGACAAAAAATGGTTTTAACATTGTGGAGCAAGTCTGCAGACTAGGATATTTTGTTACAAAATTTATATTTTGGTAACCTTTCAAACTACAGATACATAAAGAATATATTATTAAGTCAAAGGAAGAATTTTGGGACTCAACTACTTTCTTAAAATGTTTTATCCTGTGGTATGCACCCTGGCATATTTCAGTCTTTAGGGAATTCTTGGGAAGGGTGGCCTCAGTCTCTGTAATATTGTGGATTTCAAAGGTTCTTCTTCTTCTTCTGATTATTATTATTATTATTACAAAAACAGTATCTAAATGTGTCACCCAAGATGGAGTTCAGCGGTGTGATCATGGCTCACTGTAACTTCAAAATCCTGCATGCAAGCAATCTTCTTGCCTCAGTTCCCTGAATAGCTAGAACTGCAAGCATATGCCACCACCACAGAGCAATTTTTTTTTTTATTTTTGCAGATATGGGGGTCAGCCTGCTATGTTGCCCATTCTGATTTTTAACTCCTGGCTTCAAGTGATCCTCCCAACTCAGCCTCCCAAAATGCTGGGATGACAGGTGTGAGCCACTGCACTCGGCTTATACAAAGTTTTTGAATCAATTCCTAGATTTTCTACCAACTAGAAACTAATATTTTCCCTCTCCTAGACTGTGTTTTTCACTTATAAAAGAAGGTAATTAAACTGGATCACTGAATGGCATTTTTTTCTTTTTTCTTTATTTTTTTAAATAAGGGCTAATAAAAAATCCTTAAATTATATATTTCTACATATTATGGGGATGCCTCTCATTTCTTGGAGAAAATATAAATTCTCAAACAAGTTTCTTAGTTTATCAAAGACAAAATGTCAATAAGAAAATGATCACCTTTTCAGTCAACAAGTGCCACAGATTCTGAAAAGTAAAAAACAAATCGCTTTAAAACTTTTATCATAAAGTTAAACTGAGGATTACTGGGCTGCGTGTAGTTTTCAGATATGGAAATGCTTACTAGAATGGATCAGTTGTAAAAAAAATTTCAGTTCAAAGTGTCTGCCTTACTTGAATTCACAGAGCAAAACATTCCTCTTCTAACAGCTACTCTTTAAGATTTGTATTAAAATAAAAATTTATGACTGTCAATCAGTTTTATTATCCATTAAAATAAGTATGTTCAGCTTAATTGTTGTTATAATTTAATTTTATGCAAAATTGAAATCTGGGGGCATATTAATGGCCCTTGAAATATTAATGTTACCATTTGTTTCTTATTCAAAAACCTCTGGGGACCAGAACTTAGCCACAGCAAATTTAACAAAAATTTATAACTATTTCTCACTGAACGTAAGCCATTGACTATAAACTCATTGATATACATATATTTAATATACAAATGTGAATATGAAAATGTTTTAATATGAATCAAATTATTGGGTTATGACTCAACATTCAGAGAATCTATTATTCATTATTCACAGATGCCTTGCCCTCTTGAAATAAAGCAGCAAGCAGATTTATAACAAAAATTGTCCATTCCATAGAAGTCCTTGTGTCTTTCCTGCACTCTGAAACCTCATTAGAAAAAACATTTTGTTTTAACTTTTTTGCCCCTACTTGGTACAAGTGATTTTGTTCAAAAGAAACATCTAAAGGCTTAGAATTTTCTAGTCTCCTCTGAGAGCCTGGAATCTGCCAGTATAAGTGAGGATGATGAAAGAAGAATGCCCAAAGTTTACAGCAAAGATAAATGAAGGATTGTTCCATAGCTTTTCTCTGTGAAGTTGGAACAGAAACTGGCCTTGCTCTTGAAACTACAGTTATATAACCTGTGCTCAACTCACATTACTTTTGGACACTTTCGTTGTTTCTGATCACTATTTAGGCTGCTTTTTCCTACGGTAGGTAATGATAGAAAAAGTAAACAATTACCAAAACAATCTCAGCTTCCAAAGGTTCAGTAGCTTTTGATATTGTCACTGTGGGTGGGGCTGCAAACTGTGCCTTCCTTTTGGCCTTCTGTGTCTGAAGATTGGTAAAGTAGTTGACAGCTGCGAACTCGATAAGCGCAGAGAAGACGAATGCAAAGCAAACAGCTATGAACCAATCCATGGCAGTGGCATATGACACTTTTGGCAAAGAGTGCCGGGCACTGATGCTCAAAGTGGTCATAGTTAAAACAGTGGTGATCCCTAAAATAAAAAAGAATAGGAATTGTAATATTAGTACTGGGAATCCTATGGCAAAATCAAATGAGAATGTGTCAGAGGAGAAGACAAAAAACTCTACCAAGGCAAAGTCATTTTTAAAAATATTTTTTGTATTATAATTGTTCATAATTATTATCATAAGTATTATCATTTCTGAATCTTTCAATATTTAGTGAAGTGACATACATTATAACTGCTCAAAAAATTTTGAGTTTGCTGAATTGAACTAGTTATTGTAAAATTTAAGTCGTAAATAGTTCTAGTTGTTTAGGGCTTGAGAGAACTTGTAACAAATTATTACCACTTAAGAAAAAAAAACTTGAGGCCGGGCGCGGTGGTTCACGCCTGTAATCCCAGCAGTTTGGGAGGCCGAGGCGGGCGGATCACGAGGTCAGGAGATCGAGACCATTCTATCCTGGCTAACACGGTGAAACCCCGTCTCTACTAAAAATACAAAAAATTAGCCGGGCTTGGTGGCGGGCGCCTGTAGTCCCAGCTACTCCGGAGGCTGAGGCAGGAGAATGGCGTGAACCTGGGAGGCGGAGCCTGCAGTGAGCCGAGATCCCGCCACTGCACTCCAGCCTGTGCGACAGACGGACACTCCGTCTCAAAAAAAAAAAAAAAAAAAAAAAAAGGAAAGAAAAAGAAAAAAAACTTGAATTTCAGACCAATTTTACCAGCTAACATATTAAATGATAGTTAATAAATAAATATGGTATAAATATTAGCATAAAATTAGGTTACCTAATTTGTGTTTCTAGCTAGATTTTAAGGTATAATATTTACTCATTAGAAGATAAAATTTATCACTCACTTGCTGGCAGTTTTCCTTCTTGAACTATGGCCTGGGGAATTTATACTATTAGGAGATGTATAATATTGATGGTCAACATCATTATGTTGGCATTCTTTTGTAATTTTCAAAAAATCTATTTTAACTTAGTAAATTTAAAAAATCAAGATTTATGATTTCTATTCAATTCAGGTCTATCTTAGAGACTACTAAATTTATAAACATTAAACCCAGGAAAAACACTGGAATGTGTCACTGATGTTTCCAGTTGAAGCTCTTTTTCTTATTATTTAATTTTGTTTTATTAAAATTAGTAGTGATTCTATCTATAAGTGGAACTAAATATGTAGGTTGAATCATAAAAAATTGACGAAATGACAATTTTATATGGTTCAACCTAATAAAAGGGGTATACAACCTATGTATTACTGTGTTCAATACCTTAATCTTTTGCTTTCATGGATTTACATGCAGTTTTTAACTTTCTGCTTTTCCTCAGTTATGACAAAGAAAATCAAGATAAAGCACTGCAAATAGGACACATGAAAGTCATAGGAAACCAGCCATAATTCTCACTGAGACAAAATTTTTTTTGATTCATCACACAATTTGTGATATAATGACAGTGATTTTGCATGATACATATGTCTGGATGAGACAGGAACCTATTTTCTTTGTGGATTGAAAAAGTGCACCAGTGTAAATATTTACTCAAAATACACAAGCAATGAAAGGTGGAGGATGAATGTACGTGAAGTACAAAATGTGACATATACCAAAAACAGTTCTTGCTGGGACGGACTCCTTATTAATCCAGAAAGACACCTGGGAAAGAATGACTGTCATAATGCAAGGAGTGTATATCTGTATCATGAAGTAGCCCATCTTCCTTTGCAAGTGGAAGTAAACTGTCATTATAACGTATTCACCTGTTGGAAGACACATACATCAGTATTATTACTGCTGACAGTCTGCAAAAAGAATGCAGTTGAATATAAATCTTGACAACTTTTAAATTAACATTGACTGGAAGAAAACAAGCAAAGGTACATTTCAGTATATGAGAAAGCTACTTGATCAGCAGATGATAGAGCGAAGAGACACATCAACTTATTGTTTTCAGTAGGGTTCTTTATATCATATACATAAAAAAAACTACTTATTCCAAGATTACACAAATCTTTATATGCACCTGGTTGCAAAATCAGTTTTAAGGAAAGCTACTCATCACTGCAAAACAGCATGCTTAGCTGAGAATGGCTAAGGCGAAGGAAAAAGAAATAGATATTTTGAAAATGTGCACTGGAGTCATCCTGAGGGATTATTTCCATCCTTTGGTCAAATTCTTACCTGTGTTAGATTTAATTGTCTCACTAGATACTGTTTGTCCAATCAGATCATACTGGAGAAGGCTTGAAGATTCTTCTGGGACTTCTACTGAGTAAAGTGGTCCTTTTTTCCACGTATATATGATTTCACTTTTGGGATAAGCATCTAAATATTTGAAACAAATTAAATATAGCAGTGAATTTGACGAGTTGTCTTTTTTTCCTTCAAAGTGCACATTGTCTATAAAAAAGGAAATACAAACATAGATTGTATTTAATGTTTTCTTTAATCTTGGTGACTAAAGCCTCAATTTATGAGATTGACAGAATGATTAAGTATATTCCTAGAATCACACTGATAGTGTCATGATTCTATTTCTTCCTTGATTTCCAGTATCAACTAAAACCAAGTAATTATATATTTTGGATGTATTATTTGACTCTCAGAAGCCTGTTGTAACTTACAGCTCCCAAACTTGAGTGGACAAGCATGCCCATCCATAGGAAAGTTAACCAGCCTCATGGGACAGTCAGCATTGATGGTAAGCCTAGAAACATTGAAATCAACGGTTCTGAGTTAGTATTATGGACATATCATTTAGGCAGGGGAAATAGAATTGGAGAAACCTCACCTCATGGTGTATAAAATGGTTCCATTCTGCATTATTCTGAAGAGTTTATTAGGAGTTGTCATGTTGTGAGCAATGGACTTTTTACCATTTCTGAAAAAGGTGTCAGGCGTCCAGATTTTACTGACCATCAAATTATTCAGACTCAGAATCTCAGTTGGCCCCCCAAACTTCAACCTCTCATCAGTCCAGGTCTGGCGGAAAAAAACATCCATCGTATACTCCTAAGAGAAAATAAAATATTTGTGTGGGCTGGAAAGATAGTTTGCTAAGAATAGTTTATTCACTAGCCTATACACCCAATCTCAAAACTTAAGCAATAAAGCAACTTTTTATCGCAATAATTTCTCACAAAGCTATAATTTTAGCTAGTTATTATTGTTCTCAAACTCAGAAAGTTTGCATTGTTATAAAAGATAGTGCTGTGATATGTAAACTTCCCTCCTCCACCTTGACTTTCCTTAATATTCTTCCTCTTTATCTATCCAGTCATCCATATTTCCATCTATCAATATGTCCTTCTTAATCTAGAAAAAAAATATGGAAATATTTAGTTTAGCCTTTGTGCTGGCTGGCCTTTATACCATCGGTTAGACTAACTATTCCCCTTTGCACCTCATTCACCCTCAAAGGTATTTCAGAGCTTCAGAGTACCATTCAGTAAAATTCCACACATAGATAAACCTTACTTGATAAACACACTATAGCTGCACATCAAAATTATTTTATATTGTTCTCAGGGAACATATAAACAAGTGTTACCGTGACTATTCTAAAGAGGGTATCATTTAAGTATGTATCATCAAAATTATGACTTAATCTGTGGCTTTTATGAAATAGCATTAAAATGTTTAAGAATTATAATAAGAGCTATTGCAAAAGTCAATAACAAATAACAACTTGTAATTATATCAAAGTATTGCCAATAATTGCTTTGCCTACTATATAAATTCCTTTATGAAACGTATTATGGCAAGCAGTGATTACATTTTAAAAATATAATTTGACAAGCAATATATCCATACAATAATGACTCATGATATAATAGGGACCTATTGCACAAATAAACTGTAAAAACAGACACAAGCATAAGATAGAACACTAAGTATACTCAGACTTCAACAATTCAATAGCAAATTGTTGTAGTTGTTTATACTTGGAGTGGCTTAGAACACGAATGAAAAATATGATACTAAAATAATTCAGGATTCTGAATATTGCTAACTCCTCTTTCTCCTTATATAGTAAGATAATTATCTCTTGAATAAAGCCCTTCCTCCCTCTTTCCTTTTCTTTCAATTTTATTTCTTCTTTCTTTTCCTCCATATCCCTTTCTCTTCTTCCTTTACTCCTTCCTTTTTCCTTTCTTTACATCTTCTTTTCTTGCCAACTTAAAAAAGCAGAAAATGAAAAAGTCTCCAATAACTGTTTCTTTAGAATTACATTTCCTTAATAAAATCTAATGGTGAACCTCTTTAAAGACAGTTATGTTTACTTCAGCATTCATATTTACACTTCCGTTTTAGAGAGAAATGCCACCTGAGAACCGTAAAAGAATACCATGATACACTTTGTTCTAAAAGATGAGTTCAAGTTTTCATTGCTACTTACTATAAATACCCTCTTATGAATGCTACAGCCATCTGTACCTGGAACAGAGTCCCCAGAACACCTACTGGTCCATCCTCAATGTAAAAGGTGGAGAGCATCAGCCTTTCCAAATGACCTCTTTACTGTTTTAATAAAATATACTGATAATGATGTTGCCACAAAAGACAATTATGCTTTAGGTTTTATAGACATACTCAATAAACTTTTATATGGAATAAGATCTGTGTGTTTTTTTTCTTCCTCCAATAAATTTGCTGGAGCTTCACAAAGAAAGGGGAAAATCTCTTCTCTTTGGAGGGAAGAATTAGTGCATAGCATGTGGATGGAAGAGAGGACATAATTTTAAAAAGTCCCTCAGCTTAAAATGTTCAAGCCCTTAGTGAAATGTGAAGATTAAGCCAGGAATCCATTCTAATGGTCATGCCCTCCCAGCATGAATACAAATATTGTGTCATGAATCTGGAGCCAAGCTTGGCGGCAATGCCCATTATCATTAGTTTTGGGACTCCACTCTCCTCCCCGAAATGAAAACACCCAACTCACTTAGAACTTACTCACCATCTCCACATCTGACACGGGCCCAAAACTGGTCACATAAATGTCTGTTTTGACTTCAGTGACAGCACCTGAAATTAGCCCAGAGGGATGAAACAATTATCACCACTGATGTTAAGGGGATTGATCTCAGCCCTCTACCACCAAACCCCTTACTTATCATAGCCAGTATCTGCAATGTGTCCTATTGCATTCCAGTAGTGGGGATCCTTGGGTCTCTCAACTCTGAAAACTCATGTCAGTGGCCTTATTTAGAATTTATTCTAGTCAATTGGGAGAACATTAAAGAATGAAAGAAGCTAGATTCGTTCTAACGAAAATGATAATAACTAATGTATATTGATGGCTTTAATGGGAAAGTGCTAATAAAACTGTTTTACATGAATAATCTCATTTTGCACTCATACCACTCTATGAGGCAAACATTGATCATATACCCACACTACAATTTAGGAAATGAGGCTTAGAGAGTTCAGATAACTTGAACAAGGCTACTAATGGTGGATGAGGCAGAGACTGGATGGGAACATACCCATGGTCTCTCTCCCGTACCCTGCCCCTTCCCACTACCTAGTTTCTGACTCTTCTGGGTCTTCAAAGGGCAGAAACGGAGGAAGGAAACTACAGGTGTTTGTGTAGCAAAGATGCAGCTTCTTACCTCCAAATCCCGGCCGCAGCCGATTGTCATAGCCTTCAAGCAAGTTGTCCAGGATCCGACTGACGTTTTCTGAGTAGAAGTTGCCTTCAACTTCGAGTTTCCCTAGGGCATTTTCTAGCCTGTGTGTAGACAGTCAATGATCCTTACTCCCAGGCTCAGAGAAGAGGTTTTGTCTAATCTACTCTATTCCACCCTGTTACAAATACATGCAACACCACTTCTGGCCTCTTTCATGATTTGATATAGGAGTCACCCAATGGATGTATACTTTTCCTTTCCTCTGAGATAAAAAGAAAAATCAGGAAAAAGGATCTTACTCACCACAGAATAATGCACAGCCAGGGCAGAGACGACGCCATCCTGCAGTGCACTGAAATGCAGAATTCACCCTCCTAGGGTCGTCCTCCCTGCTAGCCAGCTCTTCTCTGCCAATCAACTGGAGAAATCTTTCAAACCCTTCATATCTCTGTTCCTTGTTTGCCTCAAGTCAGTAATCCAATAGATAAAGAGGTTGCCTAAAAATTTGCAGGATTCCCCTGGCTCCCTTCTTTCTTGTTTCCTTCTCACGTGGAACAAGGTGGTTTGTGGTCTTAGATTATGTCCTGCAGACACCCAGGCTCCTCTGACTGACTCAGTTGGGAAAGGAGAGTCTGAAGGGACAGTGCATGGTCGGAGAGCAGTGACAATAATCGAATAAGGCATTAAGGGAGATTAGAAGGAAGAAATCCACTGCCAGTTTTGGCATGGAATTAGCAGGGCCCTGTGAGGAAATCTGGAAAGCATTGGCATCTTGCTGATTGAGATTATGTTCCAATAGGCTCAGCGTTTATTATTTTTATGGTTCACAGAAGGATTCCTACACAGCTCTTACTGTTTAAAAAGTCTAACACTATTGTGACCCTCTTGGATTCCCTTTCTGATTTTCATCAGCATTACTAGCTACAGCCACACCCTTATGTATTTAAAGATTATTGCTCATGATTTATTTACCAGCACTTGTAACACAACAGAACAACTCACGGCCATCTTGCTGTGGATTAAATATTTTTTTAAAGATACTTTGCTGACCCTTCTTGTCAAAGGTGTGTCATCTTAAGCTAAGACAGAAGTGGGATCTACTGCTATCATTAGAGACCTGGTCAGTTTCTTGAATGCCACCTATAGGAGACAATGCCTGAGAAATAGCAGGTTAAGGCTCCTCATGCAGAAATGTTGCAAAAATAAAGCATCTATAGACGTGGTTAATGTTGATGATTCTGGCACTATTTTCTCAGGCTTGCCACAGGTTGAAAGGAAAATGTCTGAATCCAAGAAACAGCATTCTATTCTCAGTTCTGCTAGGAGGAAGTTGTAGTCAAAAAAAGTTCATTTAAGCCTTAAACTTTTAATCTTTTCTTTAAATAAAAATTTATTAAATAAAAAATTTATTAAATAAAAAAATTTTAAAAGGCATTGTGAATAGATATGTGTGTGTATATCTATTATATAGAATATATATTATATAGAATATATTTATATAATATAATATAATATATATATTATAAAAATATATATAATATAAAATATTATATTTTATAATATATATTATACACACACACACATACACACAGATATTTAAATTCAGGAACATAAGATTGAGGATCAAAAGTCTCAATTCACCATCCTCCTGCCAAATTCATTCCTTACTCACCCAGTTCACAGTCTGTACCTTTGGAATTCAAATTCTACAAAGGCCATGGTAACTATTGCAGACATCTAGCACAGCCGTAACAGTCACACTTGAGAACATGACATAAATCATTTGAGGAACGTTTGAATACATTATTGTCAGGGAAAGACACATGGCAGCCAATTAAATGAAGATACCTACAATGTTTTCTCTAATTTAAGGGAAACACCCCTAAAACCTTTTCGTGTTTGTTATGGGATCCAATTTTCACATCTCTACTCATTCTTTTTATTCTCCTTTAAACCTCCTACCACTGGTGATCACAATGTATTTTCAACTCACATTAAGTGTGCTATTACTTAAATCCCCTAAATATCTGGTATATATGATGCTATGAAATAATTCTCTTCAGATTAATCACAACTTTTTTTCAACCAGAGAACCCTATATTTATCCCTGTTATCTTTTTTAGATCTGTGTTTCTTTTTTTTTCCTATCGAAATGTTTACCACTCATCTCTGATTTGTGTCATCAGAGAGAAAGCTTTGTGAGGGTTTTCAGACCGAATGTTTTTGTTTTTTCTTTTTTAAATTTAATTTAATTTAAAGTTCCAGGATACATGTGCAGAATGTGCAGGTTTGTTACATAGGTAAACGTGTGCCATTGTGTTGTGCTGCACCTATCAACCCATCACCTAGTATTAAGCCCTGCATGCATTAACTACTTAACTTGATGCTCTCCCTTTCCCCACATCCCCAACAGGCCACAGCATGTGTTGTTTTTCCTCTTCCTGTGTTCATGTGTTCTCATTGTTCACCTCCCACTTATGAGAACATGTGGTGTTTTGTTTTGTTTCCTGTTCTTGTGTTATTTTGCTGAGGATAATGGCTTCCAGCTCCATCCATGTCCCTGCAAAGACATGATCCCATTCCTTTATATGGCTGCATAGTACTCCATGGTGTATATGTACCACATTTTCTTTATCCAGTCTATCATTGGTGGACATTTGGGTTGATTCCATGTCTTTGTTATTGTGAATAGTGCTGCAATGAACATACACATGTCTGTATCTTTATAATAGAATGATTTTTATTCTTTTATACCCAGTAATGGGATTGCTGGGCCAAATGGTATTTCTGGTTCTAAGTCTTTGAGGAGTTGTCACGCTATCTTGGTTGAACTAATGTACATTCTCATCAACAGTGAAGAAAGTTCCTATTTCTCCACAGCCTCGCCAGCATCTGTTGTTTCTTGAATTTTTAATAATCGTCATTCTGACTGGTGTGAGATGGTATCTCATTGTTTTGATTTGCATTTCTCTAATGATCAGCGATGTTGAACTTTTTTTCATGTTTGTTGGCTGCATAAATGTCTTCTTTTGAGAAACGTCCGTTCATTTCCTTTACCCAATTTTTAATATTTTTTTCCTGTAAATTTGTTTAAGTTCCAGGTAGATTTCGATATTAGACCTTTGTCATATGGATAGATTGCAAAAGTTGTCTCCCATTCTGCAGATTGTCAGAAATTTTTTCACATGTAAAAAAAATCGTGGATGATATTGTACAGTTTTACAAATATTCCTATAGAATTTCTCATTAAAATGATTTTTTCAACAAGAAACACTTAATAAATTACAGTTGTCTCTAAACAAAAGATTAACACACTTGATTTTATTTTTTCATAGGTTTTAATTAATAAGAAATTAATGTAAGAGAAGGAAGACTTTTTTTACTCTCAATAGGAAAAAATATTAGTAGAGCTAGAAGGGATAATGAGCTATGTAATCTTAGTCATTTTCCCTCTGCTGAGCTTACCTTTAAAAGAATGTGATAGACCTAGCAATATCTAAGATACTCAAGTTCTGTAATCTGAGAATTTGTATGTAATGAAGTCCCTTGTTCACACATCTCTGTCAGAATTCGGGCAGACAAGATCTATTAGCAACACTGTTAATTAGATTGCAATTATTATTCTCCTGTGGAATTAGCAAAAAAAAAAAAAAGAGTTTAAGAATTCGACAATGGCTACGACTTTGGGAGATGTATGGTCATATTTATGTAGCGTTTTGACTACGTAAACCAGTTATCAGAGCTCTCTCATTTAGAGAATTACTTCCGTTTGGCAAATTTGAGAATATCTATCTTATACCTGCATATTTCATAGCTGTTTCTCCAAAATATTTTCTCTTTTATGAATCACCTTAGACAAGCACTTGCATGCTCTGTTATTTATCTCCACTGGGAAGCCTAGAACTACCATCATCTTCAACGATAGTGCTATTAACATGCTGGATTTTGTAAAAGAATAATGTGAAATCATTCCTTTTGTGTCCTGTACTTTAATTCCATATACCACTCACACTAACACTGCTTTGTTTATATAAAATGACTTATTAAAGATGTAGTGTTAATTAGAGAAAATTATTGCACAGAAAGAGCAAACTTGGCACCAGACACTAAATGGCACTTTTTATAATACAAAAAATCAATATGTCTATGTATGCATATATAAACAAACCAAATATTCAAGTTAGCTACAGAATTGCCTCTTGGATAACATTTACTTGCACTTTCTCCCTAAAAATCTCCATTGATCTTTTCAAAAACAGCATTGGAAGTGTGCTTTCTACAGAAATTGTGTTCCTCCACAAGTGGGGGATTATATACCCTGGCAGCCATTGTGTAGAGGCCAGGAATGCTGTTATCCTACAATGCATAGGACAGTCCCCTCAAAAAATAATTATCTTGCCAAAACACATCAGTAGTACCAATGCTGAGAAAACTTGCTCTAGAATAAAACCACTCAAACTTTAGTAAAATGTTCCTCGATGAATGATTTAGCCTCTCAAGTCCACTCATTTCACAGTATTTCCACAGCATAGTGTTCTTGTAAGTATTTCCCCCTTATGATATATTGAGGGTAGCTACTTGTCCAAACATACAAACATACCTATGTTTCTGAGACAAATAAGGATGTTAAATGAGCACACTATTAAGGGAGTTAAAGCAAGCAACACAAATATAAAGATTAGATTTGCAAATTTACAAAAGGATTGCTATGTAAATATACAATAAGTAAAAAGCAGGCCAATAACTTCAATGGATATATGGATATATATAAGTTTACAATTCACAATGAAAATAGTCAAGAAACATAAAAGGTGGTCTCTTGATTAAGAGAAATCAATTCAATTCAAATGAAACAAAAATTTTGTAAATTTATCTCATGGTCATAAATTATTAAGAATTCTTACAGACTGATATTCAGTGAAGTGTTTTCAATGGGATATGCTATTTATATTTGAAGAAGGGCAATTCCTCACTAGGCGAGACAGTCCCACACATTTCAGCATACTTAGGATCTCTTGCTCTTACTCACGGAGTGTCTCTAGTGTTCTCTATGCGTGCTAACAACCAAATATTCTCTTCATATTTTAAAATGCTTTATAGTGGGGAGTTATTTTTCCCAGTTGAGAACATTATGAGTGCAACATGCAATAATTTGACTAGAGTTCATAATTAAAACTAAAATGTGCTAAAGGCTCTGCAGGCTAAGTTCAAAGAAGTACCTGCTATTTGGATCAGCCATCTTTCTGCATCCAAAAACTTAGATTAGTTTACAGTAGATTAGCAGAACTAATCTCATTAAACTATTCCCTCCCAAATTAAGTACATAACTGGGGAGAAGAAAAAGGACATAGATATTTGGGAAAAACCATTGGATTAAAGTTTTCTATCACCTTCTGTAGGAAGAGCCAGTCTCCTCTCTGACAAGTAAAAGAGATGATAAAATGGTAAGTTATTCACTCCTAAAAACTGAAAATCTCTAGAAGAAGAACCTACTGACATCTTCTTTCTTGGCAACACACTTGCTCTGAGAAAAGCAGAAGGCCCACACAGAGGCCCCAGAGAGAGACACAAGGTAGTTTGGTATTGTTCTCCTGAGGCATAGGTATACATATATAAACACATAGACTGGTCTACCTTCCAATCTATATACCAGAGGACTCCCAAAATAGCAAATTTTAGTGGGGCTTGAACACAGTGTGATGTACTATGATTAAGAAAAGAGGGAAGTAACCCTCTCCATTCCAGTTCCTGGAAGAATTGCAAGAGTGCACAAGTGGATTCTAGTGACTCACATGGCTTTGTATGAAGGAACATAAAGGCAGGTGGAAGGGCAGAAACATTGATCACTCCATGTAGCCATCTGACCATGCAAGAAGAGGCCTACCTCCAAAAAAGGTTTTGAGGACATATAGCAATTGGAAGCTGTATTGTTTGTCCAACCTGTCACAGAAGGGGTTACAGCAAGGCTGAACAGCAATTTCTTCTCTCCTTCAAATGCAATTTTCTTGAGCAGGCTCCTCCTTTATTCTAGCATTATTAAATGGCATCTAAATCTGCACAATGAAGGATGTATTCCAATAATCTTTGCATTAGCTACAGGAACAAATCTCACCAGTTATGTGCTGTACATCCTGCATTTTGTAATTTGCTCCTCTTTAAACATATGTGGCTTAAAAATAATCCCCAAATACTCTAAAGCCTATTTGGAGATTGGTAGAAAGAAGAATATTAATGATATTGAGCCAAAAAGGTAAGCAGAAAAGGGATTTTTAACATAATTTCCAGAAGTCCTAAGAGTAAATTGGATTTAAAAGTTTCTTTTGAGATATTTGTCATAGGTGAAATTATTGGTAACATGTAAGTTTGATACTACATAAACATATGATATAATTTGCTTTCATTGTGTAGCATATTCAGGTGCATAAATCATTTATAAGTACAATATATCACTTTTATCTCCCTCTCCAAACAAGTTAAGCAGAATGGTGTTATTATTCTCATTACTTGGGTACATATAAGACCTGGAGAGGTCAAATAATGTCTCCATGATTGCAAAGCTGTTAAAGGGTAGAGCTGAACACAAATCTGTAGATTCATATTCAAATAATTCTTAAGTAAGCCAGATAAACCAATATGCCAGGCTCTTGTTGCCACGAAGTTGATTTTGACTAAAATAGTTTTCAGTCATCTTGTAATGACAGGGGAGAATGAAACTGAGCTTCAAAAACAGAAGCCCTTGCTTTGTCTACTAATAACTCAAATTACTTCTCTCTGAGTATTAGTTTTCTCAACAGTATGAGAGTCTGGAACCAAAGAATTTCAGTATTTGTGTAACTACTTCCCATTCAGTACCAGAATACTTGGAACTTTTTCCTTAACTGTCTTAGAACCTGTAATGAAGATCAAATCAGTCAAAAAACAATAAATAAAATTTAGGGCTGTATATGGAGAAATTAATGTAACAATAATAGCAAATGTTTAACATTAACTGTGTATCAAGAATTATGTTAATAAATCTACAGACTCTAACTCATTCATTGCTAACACAAATGTCTATGAGTTGCCTATAATTGTGCCAATTTGATAGATCAGCAGGATATGTAACTTGCACAATCTCGCATTGCTAACAAGTGGCAGAATCAAGATTTAAAACTAGATTATTCTAACTCAAAAGCAGCTAGGTAGAAACCAAGGCCAATGGCCAGAAGTCAGTGAAAAGTAAGTTTCAGTTCTATTAAAGGAAAAAGTTCTGACTGTCATTATCTATTGAAGGGGTGGAATGGGCTATCATAGGAAAAAATGAGTTTCCCATTAACAACAGTATTCAAATATAGTATGGAATACGGTCTGTATGGGGATTTTTTTTTTTTTTTTGACAGTCTCGCTCTGTCACCAGGCTGGAGTGCAGTGGCGTGATCTTGGCTCACTGCAACCTCCACCTGCCGGATTCAAGTGATTCTCCTGCCTCAGCCTCCTGAGTAGCTGGGACTACAGGCACGCGCCACCATGCCCGGCTAATTTTTGTATTTTTAGTAGAGGTGGGGTTTCTCCATGTTGGCCAGGATGGTCTCAATCTCTTGACCTCATGATCCGCCCACCTCAGCCTCCCAAAGTGCTAGGATTATAGACTTGAGCTACCATGCCTGGCTGGGGATGTATGTTTTCTGAGGAAATTACATGGTCCCCATGAACATTCAGCAGGACACTGAGGCTACTTGTGGGTATTCTAAAGAAGATCTGATTGATAGACATCTCAAGTCAATATTTGGAGTAATGAAAACTCTACCACAGAGTTTCTTTGGAGTGACATGAGAAAGGAAATTTAAAGATATCCCTGGTGGTACAATGTACTGTTAAGGAGAAAAAAAGGAGAGGGCTTACGGAGTTATACTAAAAGAGGGAGCAAAAGTAAAGGATTATATAATAACATTTATTGAACACAACATATTTCAAGCATATGCAATGATACTGTCTCTAATCTGTGCAACTACTTTACAAAATAGCCTTTTTATGTTCATTTTACAAAAGAGGAGAATGAGACTCACAAAAATATGTTATTACCTGAGGACTCAGAGCTATTATTACCTCTGATGCCAAAATACACTCTTTTATACATTGTGCTTTGTGCATTATATCAGATCTGATCCTTTCTCTAAAGTTAGGGCTCTTAAACTCTCTGGACCAATAATAGTTTTTATATTGTTGTTAAATAATACCCACCATCTCAGTGGACACTGTGACTAAATCCCCATGTGATCCCTTTGGAGGATCCGGTGCAATAAGGACCTAATTGCTCTGGGAAGCAAAGGACAATAAAGCGACACTTCTCTGGACTGCAGCTTTAAATTGTTTTGGCTTGGTTAGGAGTAGAAAGTTGAGTACATGAGAGGGCATTCTGGGACCCCCAAAAAATATAGGCAGGGAATAGCTGTTTCAATCTTCAAAACACAAATACCAAAGAACCAAAAAGACACTTCTTAAAGAGCACATGTATATGAATGTATGATTTATATTTGCTCAACTGGTATTCATTCAATTTAACTTTTATTTATCAAGTGGTTTTTTATATTTTGAGAAAGATCACCTTCAGAAAGCTCACATTCTAGGTATCCCTATGCAACATAATAGTACTGGCAAGATGTCAGGTGCTAAAAAGTAGAATTGTTAGCCATGTGCTATGGAGACACTGAATGAGGAGGCACCAATGGTAAAGAATGGGATCAGGGATTATTTCATCAAAGAAATGATATTTGGGCTAAAATTCTGAGATTGAATAAACTGTTAGCAGATTAGAAAAGACCATTTCAGGCTGCATTATGAGCTCAGAGGTGACACAATGCATGTTGTGTTTGTAAACAACAAACCAAGAAAATAGAGGAAGCAAAGAGAAATGCAATAGATGAAAAGACTGGAAGAGAAGACGGAGTCCTATAGAGGAGCATGCTCCTCACTGGAGGATTTGAGAAAAGGCATGGACTTCTATAGCAGACCAGAACATGACTGCCTAAACAATTTTTAACAGCATTGTTTCTCTGAGAATTGCCCTCAGGAATAAAATCAGGGAGGCTGTTAGAAATTCAGGCATGAAATAGGGCCTTGCAATGTTTGTGCTACAGGCTTAACCATGTATTGATTAGAGGCCTTTGGAATCAGGAAACTTGAAGTCACCAGCAGGCAAGTTACTTATGAAAATTATTTGCTATCTCTAGGCATCATTGTCCTTACCTATGAAATGGGGTAATCGGTTCATGACAAGGATGAAATGAAATGTGCATGGAAGTAATTATCATGGGGCACATCCATAGTAAACAATAAATAAAAATATCTATCAACATCATCACCACCATCATCACCATAATCATCATTGTCATCATCATTTTTGGCCATGTCAAACCTTTTCTCTCCAGCATTTAGAAATGGGATTGAGAAATTAGCGTTTGCTCAGTGTCATTTCCTAAGGCTGTCGGTTTTGGGGGCAGGCATGTTTGGCTGAGTTAATGCAACAACAGAGACAGAAAGAAACCGAACTGCAGCAGCCCCATGGAAGGAGGCATAGGCAAGAGTCACTGCAACCCCAAAATCTGAGAGAGCAGCTGTCTGGATCTCTGACAGCCTCCCTGATTTTATTCCTTCATAATCTAGGTGTCATTTCTGCCTTTGGTTTCCCCCAAGAAAGGGTTGTGTCTTTATTATAAATTCCTCTTTTTTCTTCAAGGCAACTTAAATGTTTTCTATCACTGGGTTCTCAAAGGAGCTTAACTCAGAAGGCTGTATTCCAAATATGAAAGCAGAATTTCAGATTGTGACAATACAGTAGGACACTCAGATAGGTCGTGTGACCCACAAGAGAGAAAACCTAGAAAAGGTGGAATCCTGGACTTGCTTCCTGGCCATTCCAGAAAGGATCAAGCTAATTGGCAGTTACTTAATGAACTGCTGCTTAATGAGTCTCTCACACCTCCATGGAACAGAATAAGCACGTTAGTAAACTGTGTGAACTCTTTCAGGCCACTAGGGGACTACTGAGCATTGTCTTCTGGCAGTGCTACTCATGCCCTGGAATCTGCCTATTTATCAAATGCTTGGAGTATAGAAAAGAGAGGACAGAATTTTGGGTTCAAGCCCAGTGATGTGCTCTGGGGAAATGTTACAGAAGCACAAGCAGAATGGAAGTCAATTAAACATGGATTCTGTTGGACTTGGATAAGATGTAAACTCCAAAGCTACTGTCATGCACAGGGACATTCTCAGAGCAAGAGTACAAATAAAATGTTGAAGTGCCTTGGAAAGGTCAGAGGATTTCATGGGAATACAGGTTCTTCATGTTATTATGTGAAGAATATTAATGTGTTCTTCATATTATTATTTTAAATGACAGTGTTTTGTATTAGGATTAAATGTAAAAAAATTGCCATTTTTATATGAGTGATTCAATGTGACAGAAGAAAAATATAAATAATGGTGGGTTCGGGGGACTCAGAGAAGAAGCTAAGAGGTGTTTGATGCACAATTTGGAGCTACTGACTCATTGGTGATTGATAACATTGCACCAAAAAAAATTGGTAAAGATTCTCTCTAACAAATCCTGACTCTCCAAGAAATAAATGAGTTATTTAAAATAGATTTTTAACAAACAGGCTTTGGAGAGAATGTGCTAGGAGTAGAGTATTTGGTACTGTCAAAATTAAAAGAGGTATATAACTGTGGACTTGCTGTGGGTTTATTGTTGTCATCCTTTTGCTTATTAAGGAACATGTTAGTTATTAAAACAGAAAGATCTAACTTCCAGCGGTAAAACAAAATGGCTTACATTTCTTACACTAGAAAAAATATGGAGGGAGGCAACTCCTGGCTTTGGCAGCTAAGAGACAGCAGAGCTGACATCTCTGTATTTCATGTTGCCTTAACTTGTGATTGCCTCAGTTTCATATCGGCATTCAACAGAAGTAAAAAACTTAGTCACATGGCCACCTCTAGCTACAGTGTGGCTAGGGAAATTGTAAGCTACCCCTTGATTTCTGAATTGGAAAATTAGAAAATTAATATATATGGATAAATGTTCAGATGAATTCTACAAAATATCTTTTGTTACTATTGAAACCTAGGAAAATGAACAGATTTCAATAGCAAGGGATAGTCTTATTAAGTTTTTCATTCTTTAAATTGTAGGTGGCAGAGAAAGATGAGAGTTGGAAATCATTATTAAATTGGCCATCTGAAAGATTTGTCACAGTCAGAGAACTCCCTCCAGGCATATTAATTACAGCAGGTATCCTTGACTCTGGGATGAATACTTAGGGAGTAGAGTGTAGCCTGCACTTCTGTTGCCACTGCCCACTCAGCTTTTGGGCCATGCTCAATCTGCACACATATGTACAGAAGCCTAGCGAACTAGTGAATGGCCCATTCTAATGAGAATTATGAGAAGTCCTTTCCTAAAAGTCATTAGTATTTTTAAGATATTCTGAAGAATTCCATTGCCATTGAATATGAGTAATGCAGTTACTTTCCAAGAGCTGATGGCAAGTGAGACCTGATATTTAGTTAAAGAATCCAGGCCTTCAAAAGGCCTGAAATTCATGAAACACATTAGTTTGGCACTTCCCAGAATTTCCCTTTTTGTGTTGTATTTCTAAGTTATATACTGGCAGTTTTTTAAAGTTTCTTACAGGAAATGATTTTTACAAATTAAAGCTATTCCATCAATTAGTATTCATTTTATTAAATCCCACCTGAGAAATTTCATATAAAATTAAGTGATAGGAAAATCTTTGTCTTCATGAGGATTTGACATGCTTTCTTCTTTCTACAAATGCATAACTGAGGGTGTTTCTCCTTGCAGCCTTGCTGCCAGGGAACTCAAAGTCAAAACTGAAGTATAGCTGACTTTTGTTGGTGTTGGTCTTCTATTATTCTTGTGCCTGTTTTTCTATTGCTACTCTGTACTTAGTACTTGTCTTGTTTTAGGAGGTTCCTCAAAATTCTGCAGGAAGGAGTGGGATGCAAATAAATAGTAGTGAATGAGATAGTAATTGATGATTTTCTTGGGCCACTGAGTTATTCGAATCAATTATATTCATATTACCTATCGATTACTTGATCTGGAGTAGTGTTTAAACTAAAACTGAGAACAAAATGGATGAATCCAGAATGGAGAAGACATTAACTCTTAAAGGAGACTTAGAACCAGAAGGTTCTAGGAAAATCAGGCACTAAACTGTAGAGTATATGTTTTACAGAAAGGAGACAGTTACTGTTCACCTTCAGCCAACTTATATTTGAAACTACTTGAGTAAAATATTACATATCTTCCAGTCTTTAAAGAAGAAATTTTTCTTTATGTGAAACTGCCATTTTTAATGTTAATTTTTTTAATTTGGTTTTTACATACATTAATATTTACTTATTTTGGTGTATAGCTCTTTGAATTATTATAAACCCCAAAATTTACTCCCCCAAATTTCCCTTATGCTGCTGTTTTGTAGCCAAACCTTCCAAAAATCCCTAATCTCTGGCATCCACCAATGGTGTTTTTCACAGCTATACTTTTGTCTTCTTCAGAATGTCATACACACAGCACATAATCTAATGGTTAGGTTTTTTCACTTAGCATAATTCGTTAGAGATGTATCCATGTTGTTGACCGCGTCAGTAATTTGTTCAAATTTTAAAGAAAAGTAGTATTTTATTGTAACAATATACCACAATTTGTTTATCCATTCATCAATTAAATGACAACTGGGTTGTTTCCAATTTTTAGTGATTATGAATAATGCTGCTATAAACATTCATATGGAGATTTTTGTGTAAATGTAAGTTTTCTGTTACTTAGATTAAATATCTAGGAGTGAGATTGCTAGGTTGTTTTATAAATTGATGACTAATTTGATTTAAAAACTACCAAAATATCTTCCAAAGTATATGTATTATTTTATACACCTATCAGCAATTTATGAGAGTTTCAGTTGCTCCAAATTTATACCAGTACTTGGCACAATTGTTTATCATTCTAATAGGTGCACAGTGGCATTGTTTTAATCTCCTTTTCCTAATGACCAATAAGCATAATTGCTTATTTGCTATGTATATATCTTGGTTCAAACTTTTTGCGTATTTTGAGAATATTCTATTGTTTATTATTTTTAAACTTTAAGAGTTCTTAACATTTTCTAAATAAACACCTTTTCAAATAGGTAATTTGCTCCCAGTCAGTAACTTGACTTTTCATTATTTAACAGCGTCTTTTGCAGAACAAGGATATTTAATTTTGAGGAAGTCCAATATGTCAATGTTTTCTATAATAAGGTACAATTTGGTGGTAATATTTAAACCACAATGAGATACAATCTAATGCCAGTCAGAATGGCTATTATTAAAAAGTCAAAAATAATGCTGGGGAGTTTATGGAGAAAAAAGAACGTTTACACACTGTTGGTAGGAGTTTAAATTAATTCAGCCATCATAGAAGATGATGTGGCAATTCCTCAAAGACCTAGAGGCAGAAATACCATTCAACCCAGCAATTCCATTACTGGGTATATACCCAAAGGAATATGAAATCATTATATTATAAATAAACATGTACTCATATGTTCATTGCAGCACTATTCTAAAGTGCAAATACATGGAATCAACCTATATACCCATCAAGGATAGACTGAATAAAGAAAATGTGGCAGGCACATATACACCATGGAATACTATGCAGCCAAAAAAAAGAATGAAATTATATCCTTTACAGGGACATAGATGGAGCTGGAGGTCATTATTGTTAGCAAACTAACACAGAAACAGACAACCAAATACCACATGTTCTCACTTATAAGTGGGAACTAAATGATGAGAACACATGGACACATAGCAGGGAACAACACACACTGGGGCCTTTTGGAAGGTGGAAGGTGTGAGGAGGGAGGGGAAAAACAACTAATGGGTACTAAGCTTAATACCTGGGTGATGAAATAATCTGTACAACAAATCCCCATGACACAAGTTTACCTATGTAACAAAACTGCACTTGTACCCCTGTACTTAAAATAAGAGTTAAAAAATGTTCACACCCTTTACCTAGAGATTTCACTGCCTAAAATGGATCCTAAATAAGAAACTAAAAATACTGTTGGGAAAATGATTGAAGATATTAGATAAAATTTTAAAGCTAAGTTTTCAAATCTAGAAAAATAAATGATCATACATGGTGAAATACCACACAACTATTACAAATTTTTACAAAGCATTCATAGCAACATGGGAAATACTTAGAGTTACATGAAACAAAATTCAGAATACAAAATTGTATTTGTACTTTGTGATGGTTCAGAGCTCTGATTTGGGGATCAGACCAATTTGTATCTGATTTCAGACTCTGCCACTTACTAGCTGTGAGTCCTTAGGTAAGTCACTTAACTTCCTGAGCCTCAGTGTCCTCATCAATAATCCAAGCTTAATAATACTTCACATACTTTTTATGAGAACAAAATAAAATTTGTACACTGCAATCATTAAAAAAAAATCTTACACATTTTCTTCCAATAGTTTAGCAGTACTCTATTTAAATCCTTAGTTAGCTGGTAGATAATTATTACACTTAAATTTTACCATTTAAATTCTTTTTTTTTTTTTTTGAGAAGGAGTCTCGCTCTGTCACCCAGGCTGGAGTGCAGTGGCGCAATCTCGGCTTACTGCAAGCTTCGCCTCCCGGGTTCACGCCATTCTCCTGTCTCAGCCTCCCGAGTAGCTGGGACTACAGGTGCCCACCACCACGCCCAGCTAATTTTTTCTATTTTTAGTAGAGACAGGGTTTCACCGTGTTAGCCAGGATGGTCTTGATCTCCTGACCTTGTGATCCACCCGCCTCAGCCTCCCAAAGTGCTGGGATTACAGGCGTGAGCCACCGCGCCCAGCCTAAACTCTTAGTTATCTGTAACATACTTTTATGAATGAGTAGTACTAAGACTCTCTTTTATTTTTCGAATTATAATGCGATTGTTCTAATAGCAAGTGGGGAATAGTCTATTTTTTCCCCATTGGTTTTGCTATGGTTTGAAGCATCTCCCTAAAGTTCATGTGTTGGAAATGTGATTGCCATTGTAACACATACGTTGCATTAGGAGGTGGAATCATTAAGGGATGATTAGATCATGAGACCTCTGCTCTCATTAATAGATTAACACCTTTATAATGGCAGTGGGTTAGTTATCATGGGAGGGGCTCCAGATAAAAAGATGGGCTTGGTCCAGTTTCCTCTCTGTTTAGCATGCTCACTTGTCCTTTCACCAAGAGATGGCATAGCATGAAGACCTTTGCCAGACACTGGCACCATGTTCTTGGACTTTGCAGCCTACAGAATCATGAGCCAAATAAACTTCTTTTCTTTTTAATTACCTAGTCTGTGGCCTTTTGCTATAACAACAGAAACTGGAGTAAGACACATTTTTAATATCCACTCTATAATATAATTATTTTCCCATTTTTGCTGGAGAATGTATTTTGGACTCTTGACTCTGTTTCACTGACTTTTTAAGTTATATGCACACCTGTTTGTTTCACTTTTTTTCCCTTAGATAAAATGTGTCTTGGATGTTTTGGTGTTCCTCTTCCCACTAAATCCCATTTGAGACCAAAGGATTTATTTCTCTAGTTGCTGTGAGTCCCCTTAGAAATTCCCTCAGTTGAATAAACTTGTTGAACCTTTATTTGGGCAGGAAACATTCACTGACATATATATATGAACGTACAGCCCTCTCCGCAAGCTTTGAAACACATTTCTAGGATCATCTCATCTTCAGAGCTCCATGGGGTTGGCTGAGGCAACTTTGAGATTGCAATTGTTGAGATTGGAACTTTTCCAGCCCAACCCCCCTTCCTTTCCACACGTAGTAATTCAACAGGAACTCACTACTGAATCGCCTGCAGGCTAACCTCTGTCTCAGAATCTGCTTTCTGAAGAATACAGTTTCTGACTCAAATCAGATTTTATTGACAATCTGCCAGTTTGTGGTCTTCAGTACAGTTTTAAATATATATTAATTTTTATCCCCTATCTTTTTAAGTGGTCTGCTACCTGTTCTTAAGATCTGCCACTATGTCAAAATGGAGAGTTATAACATATATGTAATTTCAAAAGTATCACTAAAGAGTGTTTTGAAAGATTATATCATGAAAACGTAAACCCTATGCTTTTCCCTCCCCCCCAAAAAAATGTCAAAATTGCATTTACATCTATTTTGTACTAGAGCTTACACATGACTCGAGAAATTTTTTAAAAAAGGGCATCATGAAGCCTCTTGCCCATCCATTGGCTTCCTTTTAACCACTATGCCAATATTTCTATTTGACTATATATTTGAAATGCTGTGATTCAAATATTCCTCCTTCATATTTATTAATTTGCTTAGTATATTCAGTGGGCAGTTATTATGAGCCAAATATTGAAGTGTTTTTTGTTAAAGGAAAACAATTAGAAAAGCAAGAAACTATACCTGTCTCAAGGAATAATAAGACAAGTATGAAATAACATAATGCAAACAGGCTATTATCAACGCAATGCAGAGGTACAGAATGCAGTGAGAAATCAGATTATTGAGATCTCACTTGAAGGCTTTATTTTATTCCAGTTATTAATGAATTATTTGTCTCATTTTAACTATTTCTTCTGGACAATTCTTATTCCATATTTTTTTGAAAAATATTTTGATATCTTAATTTATGTTTTATTTTTTCCCCTTTAACTTAACTGTATATTTTTTCCTCTTCAAGCAGTGGCAAATTCTGTCTTTTCTTGCCTCAGGAGTGTTTGTGGCAAGGCAGAAAGCAGATAATACACTAGTTTCTAGATTTGTTTTCAGAAAGACCTGAAGGTATAGGCATAAACAAGGTTGTTTGGAGAAAAATAAAAGGAGGAACACTTCACACAGACTACAAAGAGATTCCCCCAGGCTAGGGGAGTAGAGAAACATAGAAATATATGTAGGTCTGGAAAGTACAAAAGAACTGTGCCATGCATCCTAGCTACACCACCTGGACACATAGTACCAGAGGAGAAACAGTGTCATGGGAGGTCAAGCAAATGGGACTACAAGCAGATGTCTGTCCCACAGGAATAGCTCAGAAGCCATAGAAAACTGCTACATCTCACAAGACCATGTAGACAGAGACAATTATATTTCACTGTCAACTCAGTGAACTGATGCTTAAGAACAGATGCCCTGTCCTCAACCCATGTCTTGGCACTGCATAGGATCCTACTGCTGTAGTATCAGGAGAGAGAAAGCTTCATTTCTTGTGTGCCAGAATTTGTCAACTGAGATCTAAGTCTGCAAGAAAAGTGTAAGGTTTTGGTCTCTTGTTTATTATTTGCTTTTTGTTCAAATACTACTTCATTCATTATTTCATAATCCACCTTTAGGACTGTTGGGGGTCAAAATGAGAAAATAATTTATGCAGAAAACAATACTTAGAGGAATGGAAGCAATGAACTAGTTTTTCTTCTCAGAAACACTTTTTAACCTCAGTCTCTAGTTGCAAAATCTCACTTATAATGGTGGTAGAGGGTTTGCTAAATATTCACGTACTTGATGCCTAAGCTTTTATTCATTACCTAACATTGTTCCCACTGAGGCATATCCCTGAGAAATGTATGAATTTATTATCTAAGGAATGAATCTATTGTGATGGATATCACTTGCTATTCCTCATTATCTTTCAGCTCATACTCCAAGTCGCAGTTTAAATGTCAATTCCAAAGCTAAATCTACCTATTCCCAACTTCCAAAAATAACAAGTTTTGATTCTTCAATTATGTATTCTCAAAGCACATAATACTTCTACTGTGCACTTTTAATCATAGTAAAATCTTTTCTGTGTGTAATTCTTTGTTTCGGGCTCCCTTCCAATTAGAATGTTAGTTGATGAGTTACTTCCATAGCACTTAGCACAATGTTTGATGCACAATAACTATATATATTTTTTTATTTTATTATTATTATACTTTAAGTTTTAGGGTACATGTGCACAATGTGCAGGTTAGTTACATATGTATACATGTGCCATGCTGGTGTGCTGCACCCATTAACTCGTCATTTAGCATTAGGTATATCTCCTAATGCTATCCCTCCCCCCTCCCCCCACCCCACAACAGTCCCCGGTGTGTGATGTTCCCCTTCCTGTGTCCATGTGTTCTCATTGTTCAATTCCCACCTATGAGTGAGAATATGCGGTGTTTGGTTTTTTGTCCTTGAGATAGTTTACTGAGAATGATGATTTCCAATTTCATCCATGTCCCTACAAAGGACATGAACTCATCATTTTTTATGGCTGCATAGTATTCCATGGTGTATATGTGCCACATTTTCTTAATCCAGTCTATCATTGTTGGACATTTGGGTTGGTTCCAAGTCTTTGCTAGCACAGTAACTATTTAATAAATATTTCTGACTGTCACAGAAAGGGAGTATGTGACTGAATAAATTTCAGTTTACTGTTTCAATTCTTCTCAATTATATATATACACATATATGTATACATACATGCATGTTTGTGTATGTGTGTGCATATATTCTATGAAAAGACAACATTTTATTTTTTTTTCTATGATGAAGACCCCAAATGAGGTACCAGAGTCTTTATCCATAAAGGGAATGTCTACACATCAGGAGGTAACGGAAAGGGACTTGGGGATGGAGAGAGTGGAATAGAGCTGAGCATGAACTCAGAGGGGCAAGAGCTTTTACATGATAATTGAGAGCTGATGGAAAAAAATTAGAGGCATACACAAAATTAAATTATGTTGATTTCGCTTATTTGCATATGACCTCACTCCAAGAAGACTTGAGGCAGGGATTTACTAGTGTTTTGATTCTACTTGTAGAATATATTCTATCCTCTCTTTAAGTTACTGGTAAGATAGATAGATGATAGATAGGTAGATAGATACATAGATAGAGATATAGATAGATATATAGATATAATAAACTTTATTTAAAAATTATTTTTATTTTACTTTAAGTTTCGGGATACATGTGCAGAATGTGGAGATTTGTTACAGAAGTAAATGTGTGCCATGGTGGTTTGCTGCACCTATCAACCCATCACCTAGGTATTAAGCCCCACATGCACTAGCTATTTGAAAGATAATATTTCAAATGACTGTCATTTTACAAAGGGTAAGAAATATATCAGGTGCTAACATTTCTTATGAGAATAAGTAGATTGAAACATGAAAGTTGAATGAAAGATTTTGTTGCATTCCTTTCTGTAGCCTTTGCTGTTGCACCACGCTTGTGTAATATTCCAAAAAAGCATACTCAAGGATATCTATGTGCCTAAATGAGAGCCATGATGTGATGAGCAATTCAAGTTTGTTATTCACTTACACATCTCTCCTGGAGTACTCTTCATGTATTTGCACATCTGAGAGATTTATGGGGCTCCAGATTAGCTTTTTATGCAAAAAAACTCATTAAGAAAAAATATAATTACATACCTCCAACCCGCAGTGTGTGGGTAGATATCAGAACCTTAATGTCAAAGAACATTGTCAAGAAAAAAAATGAAAATGGCAAAATAAAATGCAGTTCCCAAAGTGACCAAACCAACCCATTAAAAATTACTTGTAATTTGTCACATCATATCAATCACATCGATCAGTTACATTTGAAGGTCCTAAGAACACAAGTATCTGAAGATTTGTGACAGATAAAATATGGTCTCCCATTAGTGCACAATATCTTATTGTTTACGAGTGGTAATAAAAAAAATTACACAAGAGGTGAAACCTGGTAACAGGCAGTTCATTTCTGTTTTAGGTGACTTGGATCAGAAATGGCATAATCACATACTCAGCATGTTGTTTTAATAAATATAAAATAAACATTAAGATAACTTTTATGATTTCTGTTGTATTCCTACTCTTGATGCACAAGATTAGGAAATAATTTTTAAAAGGCACTCATTTTGCCTCATGGTTTGATATAGTTTCTTTAAATTTTACTTTTATGTACTGCTTATATCTGTGAGATAGCATAATGTGTAGTGCTTAATGTATTTAATTAAAAATATATTTAATGGGCTATGAAAATGTTTACATGGCAACAAATAATGTAATTCATACCCACTAGCAAGTGTCAATATGTGAGTGATTAGAATACAAGTGGATATGGATACTAACACAAAACTAGGTATTTCAGCAGTACTTTTACTTCTAATTTTTCTGTAGTGGAAAGTTGTATGTAATTAATTAGTTACCTTGTATTAATCAGTGTTCTTCAGAAAAACCAAAACAATAAGATAGATAGATAGGTGTATAGAAAGTTTTCTCATAAAGCATAGTCACAAAAGGTTGTGGCTGAGAAATCCTACAGTCTGTAGTTGGCAAGCTGGAGACCCTAGAGAACTGGTGGTGTAATTCCAATCCAAGTCCAAAGACGATAGAACCAGGAAAGCTAAAGGTGTGAATTCCAGTCCAAGTGCAGGAGAAGATAAACATCACAGCTGAGCTGAAAGGCAGTCAGGCAGAGAGAGAGAGAGAGAGAAAGGAAATTGGGCTTTACGACACCTTTTTGGCCTAGTTAGCCCCTGGATTGGATGATGTCTCACATTGGGGAGGGCAGTCTACTTTATTTGGCCAAAATAAATCAATTCAAATGCTAATCTCATCCAGAAACACCTCACAGATATACCTAGAAAAAAATATTTAGCCAAATATCTGGGCACCCTATGGCCCAATCAAATTGACACATAAAATTAACTTTACAACCCATTTTTATTCTTTCATTGTCAGAATGCCTTGGTTGAAAATAGTTACATTACTTTCAAGTTACAAACATTCTGTGCCTTCACTTCATCTGTTTCCCAGAGGTAATAGCAGCTTCAACTTCCTAGGGTGGTGGTAAAGTTTAAATGAGATAATATATTTCAATTGCTCGGCACAGGGCAGAACCAAAAGAAATAATAAATATTAACTGTTATTACCATTACTTAAATTGAATTAATAGAACTAATAAAGGTTTGAGTGCATCTAAAATCTACCATCTTGGTTTTCAAGAGGGCTATGAGGTACAATTCTATTATGTATTTGTTGGGCAAAGAGTCAGTATATTAGACAAATCACATGAGTGACTGCCATAGAGAGGGAGTCTTGTGGATTAGTTCAAATATTTTCGTAAAGAAATGACAGGGAATCTAAAGTCACCTATTCTCCTTTGAGTCACTTAGCCTTACTCATTTAGAAGTATGTTGCTCAGCTTTTATCTCCACTAAAACTTCAATCATAATTATGAGATATTTAACTGTCCACGTAACTGTCTCATTCTGGATTTATTTTACTTCAACAATGTTTTCTTTGATTGTACTTTATCCACCTATTTCCAGACACATATCCTAAAATCTTCAGGACCTAGAAAAGCCCCACCTAAAAAGTCATACAGAACAATATTTACTGTCTGAGCATGAAGCCTTGTCAACCCATTTCTGATCACCTCATTCTCATTGTTTCTACTCTTTGTTGTTATACAGGTGTATAATCTTTTGATATTTCTAATTCCCTCATTCTATAAGCCTCTTCTTAGTAGCTCTTCCCTACTTTAATGGAATCACAGGCTTGATTGTCTCAACTTTTTTTCTTACCCAGTAGCCCTCATTTGCTGCCACATTTGTATCGCTACCATATCTGCCAAGCAAACAACTCAATTCAGAGCACCACCTTCTCAGATTGCTATTTACTGTTGGAAAAAAAAAATCTCAAACCATCAATATTATAAACACACTTAAATCCATATTGCCCAAAATTATCAGGCCTATGTATATAATTATCACTCCTTTGGCTTATTCCTTATCACCTTGCTCCTCCATGCTCTCTGATGCCTGTTATAAATCTTCACCTGAGTCAATTAATAAGGACCATTCTCCCTGCTACAAGATTCCACAGAAAGTACTTGGTTAGTAAAGACTCAGGAGATTTTGTTGAATACACGATATCCTCCAAGACTAGATGCTTAAAAAAAAAAGATATTCAAGGACAGAATGTATAAATTTCAATATCACAATTATTTGCCAATTATTCACTTCCTTTCTATTACAAAGTGTTCAGGAACATTTTAAAAGCATTATTGAACTAATATCATGTTTCTGCATAGGGATTTCAAACTGTATAACCCAAATGACAAAATATGAGTAAGGAAAGCCAATAAATGTTATTGGTTTCTAATTCAAGGTAGCTCATGGAGTTTTAAAAAATATTATATAACAAATTCATTCCATTATTTTTACTACCCTGGTGTTTTTATTTTGATGGAAATTATGCACATGGTTAGATTGCCTGTTGGGTAATACAGAATCTAACACCATAAACAACCACATGATAAAAGGAGAAGAACGTAAAAAAAAAATTGGAAAATTTTGCAACGTTAATTTTTGTACTAAGAAAAATTTCCCTTTTCTTAGTATAAATAACTTACAAACAGCTTCCTAACACCTCATGCTGTACCTCAAAATTCCAAATTTGGATAGTTTTATCAGGTCAGGAAATGGAACAATATAGACATTTTACACCTTTCTCACCTTCACTCTTCTTCACAGACAGTAGTAAATGTGTCCAAAATATGAAACTCATTTGTTTAACAGAAATACTTAAACCAATTAGCTGTAAAGAAAAGCAATTATTTAAATGGTAAATTATTTAAATTATTTAAATCATTTAAATTATTTAAATTATTTAAATCATTTAAATTATTTAAATTATTTAAATGAAAGTTACCCATATCAAATAGATTCATCAAAAATGTGGTGGATGTTGGCAGATTTTACAATTTTGTCATTATTATTTTCAATTTTATTTTAACATTGTATCTCTGTGTGTTTTTTTTAAAATAACATGCTTATTGATATTTAATTCACAGGTCATAAAATTCACCCTTAAAATTAGACGATTCAGTAATTTTAGGTATATTTACAAGGTTATGCAACCATCATTACTAAATCCAGAAGACTTTTTAAATACTAAATAGAAACTTTGTATCCACTACAGAGTACAATCCTCATCTACTCTCGCCCGGTAACTCCCCTTTCTTGCCCCTAGTAACTACTGATCTACTTTCTGCTTCTATATATTTGCCTATTCTGAATGTTTGATAGAAATGAAATCATACCATTTGGTGTCTATTGTACTGGTTTCTTTCACAGCATGTTTTCAACGTGAATCCATGTGACAGCATGTATCAATACTTCATTCTTTTTTATTTATTCTTAGAGCAGTTTTAGCTTACAGAAAAAGTGTGAAGATAGGAGAAGTGTTATCATATACTCCATAACAAGCTTTCTAACCATTAACCTCTTACATTAATTTAGTACTTTTACAGTAATTACAATCAATATTGATACATTACTATTAACTGTAAGTCTATACTTTTTTCAGATTTCCTTTGTTTTTGTATAATAAAATTTTTCCGTTCCAGGGTCTCATCTAGGATTTCACATTATATTTCTTCTCCAAGTCTTGTTAGTTTTTCCTTGGCTATGACAGTTTCCCGGATTTACCTTGTTTTCAATGACTTTAACAGTTTTAAGGAGTGCTTGTCAAATATTTTGCAGTATGTCTCTCAACTGGGATATGTCTGATATTTTTCTCATGATTAAACTGGGGTTATAGATTTGGGAGAGGAAGAGCCTGGGGGAAAAGCGTCATTTTCATCAATGACATTAAAGGTACTTAATGTCAATGATTTATTATTGTTGATATTGGCTTTGAAAACCTGGCTGAAATAGCATTTATCAGATATCTTTACTGTTAAGTTACTGTGCTCTATGGAAAGAAATCACTATATATAGGCCACACATAAGGAGAAGGGATTCATGCATCACTTCCTTGGGTGAGGAGTATCTAAATAAATTATTTGTAATTCTTGTGCATGGGAGAATTGCCTTTTTCCCCATTATTTACTCAATCATTTATTTATACTGGGAATTAATCCATTTTATTCCTGAATAATGTTCCATTATATAAATATACTTCACATAGTTTATCTATTCGTAATTAAATGTATTGTTTCCATTTGGAGCCATTATAAATAATGCTGCTATGAATATTTCTATAGATGTTATTGTGAGGATATGGGTTTTCAATTCCCTTGGGATTATACCTAGGAGTTGAATTGCTGGGTCACATGGTAAACCAATGTTTAATATCTTAAGGAACTGTCAAACTCTTTTTCTCAGTGGCTGCAGCCTTTTACAGTTCCTCTCCCAGCAATACATGAGGGTGTCAGTTATTCCCCATTCTTGTCAACATTTGTTATTTTCTGTCTTTTTTATTTTAGTCATGTTAGTGTATGTGAAGTGGCAATTCACCTTGGTTTTGATCATTATTTCTTAAAGAAGTAATGATTTTGATTATCTTGTTGAGCTTATGTGTCATTTATATATTACCTTTAGAAAAATGTCTACTCAAATCCTTTTTACCATTTTTTCTTGGGTTGTCTTTTTATTGCTGAGAATAAGAATTCTTTATTCTGTATTCAAGTCCCTCATTAAAACATTTTTTTCCCATTCTGTTGATTGTTTTTTCACTTTCTCAATGGTGTCTTTTAAAGTACAAAAGGCTTTAATTACAAACTTCAATTAAATTAAATTATAAAGTCCAGTTTACCTTTTTTTTGTTTTTCCCCATGTGATTTTGGTGTCATATCTAAAAAAATTTCCTCATTCAAGATCATGAGAATGTATTTCAATGGTTTCTACTAAGAGTTTTATAGATTTTATTTTTATGTTCAGGTCTATATCATTCATACTGATTACTTTTCATCTATTGTGTGGGGTAGGTGTCCAATTGCTTTCTTTTGCATGCAGACATCCAGTACTTCCAACACCGTTTGTCAATACGTCTATCTTTTCCCTATTGAATGGTCTTGGCATTCTGTGAAAAATCAATTAACCGTAAATGTTAGAGTTTAATTCTTTTTTTTCCCATGTTTTGCTTACTTTTTATTGATTTCTTTTCAGATTATATTAAGCTTATATATTAGTACCACTATATATAAATAACGAAATGTACATTTACTGTTAAACGGGACACAAATATTCTTCATTGCTGGAATATGTAATCAAAGAACTTTGGAGATCATTGTGTTACAGGATCCTTGGGGCGTCACTTCACCAGCAGGAAACCTCTGTGGCCAGTGGTGCCTTTGCCCCAGTTTTGCTCGGGACCACTAAGCCCACTTGGCCTGGCAGGCTGTGCTTGACTTGTGCTATTGGCCTGGATCCCATGCCTGCCAAGGACAAGTGGAGCAGCGAGGGGGGTGCAAGCAAGTGAGCTTGGGGTCTAGCCACTGCGCATAGCCAGATTCGCTGCCTGCAGTGGGGTAGGCAACTCCAGGCGCCGCCATGGGTGCCGGCTGCCTGTGAGTATGCAGCTGGACCAGGCGTACCACAAGCAACTTCCACAGCTGGCACCGGGGAACACATCGGCTCTCAGAGGCTTGGAGACGCCAGGAATTGCAGAGCCCCAAAGAGGGTGTCACAGCCATGGCTCAAGGGACCTCCTAGGTCTGGGCTCCCCAAGGGCCTGCAGCTCTTCTTTCTCCTTTCCCTCCGTATTGTATAATTCTTTACTCAATTATATTCTACTGAGCTTCATGCCTAATCTTATGCTGTTACCATATCACACTGATTACTGTAGCTCTGTAGTAAGATATCAAATCAAGAAGTGTAACCATAACAACTTCGTTCTTTTTAAAATTGTTCTGGCTATTCCAAGTCCTTTGCATCTTTATATGAATTTTATAATCACCTTGTCAATTTTCTCAAAAGAGTGGCATAAATTTTGATAGGTATTGAATAGAATCTGAAAATAAATTTGAGGACTATTGCCATTTTAACATTAACTCTCCCTATCCATAAACATGAGATTTCTTTTTGTTTATTTAGGGTTTCTTTAGTTTCTTTCAATAATATTCTGTAGTTTTCAGTGTACAAGTCTTGCATTCTTTGTTACATTTATTAGAAAGCACTTTATTCTTTTGGTGCTATTGTAAATGGAATTATTTTGTTCGTTACAATTATATGTAGCCTATTGCTAGTTTGTAGAAACACAATAGATTGTACATTTATCTTCTATCCCAATACATTCCTGAACTTGTTTATTATTTCTAATGGCCTTTTCATGGTATCCTTAGGATTTTCTGTATATAAGATCTCGTTTTCATATAGACAGTTTTACTTCTTCCTTTCCAGTGTTGACATATTTTAATAATTTTTCTTGCTTAATTGCTCTGACTAAAACTTCCATCACAATATTAAATAGAAGTATCAAGATCAGATACCTTTGTCTTGTTTCTTGCTGATCTTCAGAGAGAGCATTGTCTTTCACCATTAACTATGATGTTTACCTGGGGGTTTTGTGGCTGCCTTTTATCACTTTGAGACAGTTCCCTTCTGATCCTATTTTGTTGCACTTTTATCATGGAAGTATATCGGAAGTTGTCAAATGTGTTTTCTATGTCAACTGAAATGGTCACACGGTTTTTGTCCTTCATTGTATTAATACAGTGCATTGCATTCACTGATTTTTGTAGGTTGAACTAATGTTGACTTCCTGGGATAAATCTCATTGGTCACAGTGTATAGTAGGCTTTTTGGGTTTTGATGGATTTGGTTTGAGAATCCATATTTCATAAGAATATTTCATAAGAGAATCAATATTTCATAAGAAATATTGGCTTCTAGTTTTCTTTTCTTATGATATTTTTGGCTTTGATATCCAAGTAATATATCACTTTATAGAAGAAATTGAAAAGTGCCCTCTTCTATTTCTTGAAAGACTTTGTAAAGAATTAGTGTTAGTTATTCTTTACAATTAAGGTAGAACATACCAGTAAAGAGATATGGGCCAGAGTTTTTCTCTATGAGAATTATTTTTATTACTAATTCAAATTCTTTACTTTTTTTTAGGTCATTTCAGATTTGGTATTTGTTTTTGAGTCAGTTTTGATTTTTTTTTTCCTAGAAATATGGCCAATCCACCTGATTTATCTAATTTGCTGGAATACAATTGTTCATAGAACCCTAATTCTTTTCATATTTTTAAAGGGCCATCAGTAATGTAATTTACTTTATTCCTAATGTTAGCAACATCATTCTTGATTTCAGTTCTTGGTCAATCAAGCTAAATATTTGTTCATTTTACTGATGTTTTCAAAGAACAAACTTTTTGGTCCCATTGATTTTCTCTATTTTTTCCATTAACTACTTTATTTTTGCTCTAACATTTCTTATTTTCTTCCTTCTGCTTGTTTTGAATTTGGCATGCTCTTCTTTACATAGTTTCTTCAGGTAGAAAGTCAAATCATTGATTTATTATTTTATTTTTTATTAATATATAATATTTGTACATAGTTATGGGGTACATGTGATATTTTGTTACATGCGTAGAATATGTAATAATCAAGTCAGTATTTAGGATATCTGCCATCTTGAGCATTTATCATTTCTATGTGTTAGGAACATTTCAAGTCCTCTCTTCTACTATTTTGAAATATGCAACAGATTGTTGCTAACTACAGTCACCCTACTCTACTATAGAACATTAGCACTTCTTCCTTCAAACTGTATGCAAATATCCATAAATATTCTCCTAAGCACAGCATTAACTGCATCTTATAAATTTTGGTATACTGTACTTTTGCTTTGGCTTATTTCAAAGCATTTTTTAAAAAATTTCTCTCATTTATACTTTGGTCATTTAGAAGTGTATTGAATTTTCATGTATTTGTTAATTTCTCAAATTTCTATCTTTGAAGATACATAATTTCATTTCCTTGTGGTTTGATACTATATACATACAATTTTAATCTTCTTAAATTTACCTATTCTTGTTTCATGGCCTAATACATTATCTGTTTTAGAGAATATTGCATATGTACTTGAGGATAATGTGTATTTTGATGTTTTGGAGAAGAACAGTCTGTAGATATTTCTTAGGTCTATTTCATTTATAGTGTTGCTTAAGTCTCGTAATTGTTTGCTGATTTTCTGCCTAGTTAATCCATCCGTTATTAAAAATAGGATGGTGATGTCTTCAGCTATTACTGTTGATTTTTCAAAGGCTCTTTTTCATTCTGTCACTTGATGTGGCATGTATTTTGAAGCTTTGTTGTTAGTTACATACATATTTGTAATTGCTATGTCTTTGATGGATTGATTCTTTTATTTCTATAAAGTATTATTATTTGTCTCTAATAATAATCTTTGTCTCAAAGTTTATTTTGGGTTATATTAGAATACCCACTCTATTTGTCATATCATTGTCATTTGTAGTATATATTTTTCCATTTGATTAAGTCTGAAATTATTTGTCTTTAAATCTATAATATCTCTTGTAAGCAGCAAGTAATTCAAAATGCATGTACTTTTAATTCATTCTTTCAGACTGCATTTCAATTGGAGTTTCAAATACATTCACATTTAATTTAACTATTGATACAGTTAGATTTACATTTTTCAATTTAGTATCTTCTGTATTCCTTATGAAACCCTTTCCTTCCTTTACTACCTCCTTTTGTGTTAAATTGATATTATCTTCTATATCATTCTAATTCACTTATTTACCATGTTTGTATTTGTTTTCTTTGTCACTTCCCTCGAGGTACAATTAACATCTTAATTTATAACCATCTAGATTGGATGAAATGAATTTAGTTTCAAGATTACACAACATTTTTGCTCCTATTTCCATTTTTTCTCCTGACCTTGAGCTACAATTGTCATGCTAATTTTATTTTATATTTTCTGAGTTCATTAACACTGATTTATGTTTCTTGAATGCTTTTCTCTTTAAATCAGATAGGAAAAATAATTACAAGCAAGAATGCATTCATAACCTCTTTTATATTTAAGCACCTTTATCAGTATTCTTTATTTCTTCCTGTAGATTCAATTTACTATCTAGTATCCTTTCCTTTCACCCTAAAGCTCTCCTTTTAGAATTTTATGCAGGATATAACTGCTAGAGATTCATTCTCTAAGTTTTTGTGTACCTGTAAAATTTTAAATTTCTCCTTCATACTTGAAGGATACTCTTTTTTTCTGTATATAGGACTCTTTTTTGATAGTATTTTACTATCAATACATTATGTGATCTTTATATTTTCTGAATACTAGAAATCAGATCAGAAATCACCTGTTAATAAAATTATGGATTTATTTTTACTGATGAAGTGTTTATATTGTTTCCACAGTTTTATTATGATGTTTCTAGCTGTAGATCTTGTATATTTATTGTATTTGGAGGTTGTTGCATTTCTTTGATGTGTGAATTAATATTTTTCATTAAAATTAGAAAGTTTCAAACCATTGTTTATTAAAATACTCTGTCTGCCCATTTTCTCTCATTCTCCTTCTGGAACTTTCACAATATAAATATGCACACACACACACACACATACATATGTATGTTTGATGGTATCCTATAGGTTGTCTTTAGTCATTCTTTTTTATTTCTGTTTCTCACACTGAAAAAAAATCAATTTAATTTTGTCCAAGTTTATTGATTATTTATTCTTCTAGCTGTCATCTGCTGTGACGCTCTTTAATAAATTTGTATTTGAATTATTGTATTTTTAAACTTCAGAATCTATTTTATTATTATTTTATAACTTTTTTAAAAAAATTGTTTTATTTTTATTTTAAGTTCCGGGGTACATGTGAAGGAGGTACAGGTTTGTTACACAGGTAAATGTGTGCCATGGTGGTTTGCTGCACCTATCAACCCATCACCTAGGTATTAAGCCCAGCATGCATTAGCTATTTTCCCTAATGCTCTCCCCTCCCCGTGACCCCTGACAGGCCCCAGTGTGTGTTGTTCCCCTCCCTGTGTTCATGTGTTCTCACTGTTCAGCTCCCACTTATAAGTGAGAACATGCAGTGTTTGGTTTTCTGTTCCTGTGTTAGTTTGCAGAAGATAATGGCTTCCAGCTCCATCCATGTCCCTGCAAAGGACATGATCTTGTTCTTTTTTATGGCTTCATAGTATTCCATAGTGTATATGTTGACATTTTCTCTATCCAGTCCATCATTGATGGGCATTTGGGTTGATTTTATGTCTTTTCTATTGTGAATAGTGCTGCAAAGAACATACGTGTGCATGTATCTTTATAACAGAATAATTTATATTCCTCTGCGTATATACCCAGTAATGAGATTGCTGGGTCAAATGGTATTTCTGGTACTAGATCTTTGAGAAATCTCCACACCATCTTCCACAATGGTTGAACTAATTTACATTCCCACCAACAGTGTAAAAGCATTCCTATTTCTCTGGAACCTAGGCAGCATCTGTTGTTTCTTGACTTTTTAAAAATCACCATTCTGACTGGTGTGAGATGGTATCTCATTGTGACATTGATTTGCATTTCTCTATGATCAGTGATATTGAACTTTTTTTCATATGTTTGTTGCCCACATGAATGTGTTCTTTTGAGGAGTGTCTGTTCATGTCTTTTGCCCACTTTTTAACAGTTTCTATTTGTTGTTGTTAATTTGTTAAAGTTCCTTGTAGACCCTGGGTATTAGACGTTTGTCAGATGGATAGATTGCAAAAATGTTCCCCCACTCAGGAGGTTGTCTGTTTGCTCTGATGAAATTTTCTTTTGCTGTGCAGAAGCTCTTTAGTTTAATTAACTACCATTTATCAATTTTTGATTTTGTTGCAATTGCTTTGGGCAATTTTGTCATGAAATCTTTGCCTGTGCCTATGTCCTGAATGGTATTACCTAGATTTTCTTCTAGGGTTTTTATAGTTTTGGGTTTTACATTAAATTATTTAATTCATCTTGAGTTAATTTTTATAAGATGTAAGAAAGGGGTCCAGATTCAATTTTCTGCATATGGCTAGCCAGTTCTCCCAGTATCATTTATTAAATAAGGAATCCTTTCCTCATTGCTTCTTTTTGTCAGGTTTGTTGAAGATCAGATGGTTGTAGATGTGAGGTCTTATAGCTGAGTTCTCTATATGATCCCTTGGTCTATGTGTCTGCTTTTGTACCAGTACCATCCTCTTTTGGTTACTGTAGCCTTGTAGTGTACAGTTTGAAGTCAGGTAGCATGATACCTCTAGTGTTGTTATTTTTGCTTAGAAGTGTCTTCGCTATACAAGCTCTTTTTTTGTTCCACATGAATTTTAAAATAGTATTTTCTAATTATGTGAAAAACGTCAATGATAGTTTAATGGGAATAGCATTGAATCTATAAATTACTTTGGGCAGTATGGCCATTTTCATGACATTGATTTTTCCTATCCATGAGCACAGTGTGCTTTTTCATTTGTTTGTGTCCTCTCTAATTTTCTTGAGCAGTGGTTTGTAGTTCTCCTTGAAGAGGCCCTTCACTTTCCTTGTTAGCTTAATTCCTACGTATTTTATTCTCTTTGTAGCAATTGTGAATGGGAGTTCATTCATGATTTGGCTCTCTGCTTGTCTGTTGTTGGTGTATAGGAATGCTTATGATTTTTGCACAACAATTTTGTGTCCTGAGAGTTTCCTGAAGTTACTTATAAACTTAAGGAGCTTTTGGACTGAGACGATGGAGTTTTCTAGATATAGGATCATGTAATCTGCAAACAAAGACAATTTGACTTCCTCTCTTCCTATTTGAATACACTTTATTTCTTTATCTTGCCTGATTGCCCTGTCCAGAACTTCCAATACTATGTTGAATAGAAGTTGTGAGAGAGGGGCATCCTTGTTTTGTTCCAGTTTTCAAGGGGAATGCTTTCAGCTTTTGCCCATTCAGTATTATATTGACTTTGAGTCTGTCATAAATATCTCTTATTATTTTGAGATATATTCATTCATTACCTAGTTTATTGAGAGTTTTTAACATGAAAGGATGTTGAATATTATCAAAGGACTTTTATACATCTATTGAGATAATCATATGGTTTTTGTCTTTAGTTCTGTTTATGTGATGAATTACATTTATTCATTTGCTGATGTTGAACCAGCCTTGCATCCTGGGGATGAAGCCAACTTGATCATGGTGGATAAGCTTTTTGGTTTGTCAGTAATTTATTGAAGATTTTTGCACTGATGTACATCAGGGAGCAAATGACCAAAATTCAAGAGAACAAATAAATAATAAAAGTAGACCCATACTGATTCAGATATGTTAGTCACCAGAAAGAAATATTATTAAACGTATGATGAATAATTTTCATAAATATTATAAAAATTAGAAATTTTCACCAAATAACCTTAATATTTAAGAGTCACTGCCAAGAACTAAATATTTAAATTTAAATTTAGAATTGAAAGCACAGATTTAATAGTAGATTTGACATGTCAGGGAAAGAATAAGTAACCTGGAGAGTAAA
Organism: Homo sapiens; assembly: GCF_000001405.40. NCBI lineage: Eukaryota > Metazoa > Chordata > Mammalia > Primates > Hominidae > Homo > Homo sapiens. Next base: position 161,653,971 of record NC_000005.10, on the reverse strand, counting down.
TTGGTAGAAAATACCCACATATTTTAAAATGCAGAAATGGACATCATATTTGCCTATCAATATGTGTGTGTGTGGCATAGTGAAAAATCTGAGGTATGTATAGTTGAAGTCTCAGAAGGGGAGGAGAAAGAAAGATACTTAGATAGAAGCAATATTTGAAGAAATATCTGCTACAATTTTTTCCAAAAAAGGGGAAACATCAATGTACAGATGTATGAAAACTTATAAATACCTAGTACAGATACAAAACAAACAAAACAAATAATTTCCTGGCATATCATAGTAACATTTCTAAAAGCCATTGATAAGACATCAAAACTCTCCTGAATTCCTTCATCACATTTCTGATTTTTTTCTAATTCTGATTTGCATTATTCCTTCATGTTTTTCATAATTTTCCAAGTATATGTTAACTCATTTTAAAATGAGTTACACTTCTGATTTTGGTTGTGCACCTAGCCTTCTGATGTGCTTTTGTTGTCTTCAGGGAGGTTATTCTGCTCCTTATTCTACATCTTTGTACTGGGTCTTATCATGATATTTTTCTGTTGCTCTTCCTCATGTAAAATTAGTATCCTTAAACTCTTAGAATTGAAGTGTGGTTCACTAAACAATTTCCAGCCTCACAGAACTTACTCTTCTATTGTTTTTGTGTAAAGTTTAACACTATAGATGCTTGCTTTTTGAGATTTTCTGGCTCTTCCCTCAGAATCTTTGGTCTGTAGACTCTCTTCCCTTCTTCATTCTTGTCCCTATCCTGATCAATTTTGATTCCACCATCAGCAGTTTATCTTCACAGGCTGTATTTTGAAGGAAAATTCGATGAATCAATTTGAGAAACAGTGAGAGCAAGACTGCCTCTGGGGAAGTTCATTTATCCCTTTCTGGGAACCCTTTGCACTCACTCACTATTAGAGTGAACAAAACCCCTGCCCATTTTAGCTGCTGCCTTAAAACCAAACTCCTTATGCTACAATGAATACCAATTGGCTATTTGGGTATTATCCTTTTCTCATGTCATTGTCAGATGCCACTCCAATTTTGTTTTTCTTATTTCTCCAGCACTAATGCCAATACTATTCAGGCCTTTTGATGGCGTATGTGTACCCACTTTTATTTTAGCATCCATAGGAATAATTTTTCATCTAGTTTTATTGTCAGTGTTGTCCAAGGATTTTGTTTTTTTTCCTTAGAGTTGTTCTACATATTTTTATTTGTGGATTTGGAAAGAATGAAAAATAAAGCCACTGCTGCAACCATTTTTATAAAAGTGATTATGCCTTGTTGCAGGAAGTCAGGGACCCCAAACAGAGGGACTGGCTGAAGCCATGGCAGAAGAACATGGATTGTGAAGATTTTATGGACATTTATTAGTTCCCCAAATTAATACTTTGGTAATTTCTTATGCCTGTCTTTACTGCAGTCTCTAAACATAAATTGTAAAGATTTCATGGACACTTATCACTTCCCCAATCAATACCCTTGTGCTTTCCTATGCCTGTCTTTACTTTAATCTCTTAATCCTGTCAGCTGAGGAGGATGTATGTTGCTTCAGGACCATGTGATAATTGCGTTAACTGCAAAAATTGTATAGCATGTGTGTTTGAGCAATATGAAATCTGAGCACCCTGAAAAAAGAATAGGATAACAGCAATTGTTCAGAGAATAAGAGAGAGAACCTTAAACTCTGAGCCAGGCAGAACAGAGCCATATTTCTCTTCTTTCAAAAGCAAATGGGAGAAATGTCACTGAATTCTTTTTCTCAGCATGGAACGTCCTTGAGAAAGAGAATAAGCGCCTGGAGGTATGGGCTTATAAACAGCCCCCTTGGGCGTGGCCTGTTTCTTATGGTTGAGGCTGCAGGGGTGAAATAGACCCCAGTCTCCCATAGTGCTCCCAGGCTTGTTAGGGAGAGGAAATTCCCACCTAATAAATTTTGGTCAGACCCGTTGATCTCAAAACGCTGTCTCCTGATAAGATGTTATCAATGACAATGGAGCCCGAAACCTCATCAGCAATTTTAATTTCGCCTCGGTCCTGTGGTCCTGTGATCTCACCCTGCCTCCACTTGCCTTGTGATATTCTATTATCCTGTTAAGTACTTGATGTCTGTCACCCACACCTATTTGCACACTCCCTCCCCTTTTGAAAATCCCTAATAAAAACTTGCTGGATTTTGTGGCTTGTGGGGCATCACGGATCCTACCAACATGTGATGTCTCCCCCAGACGCCCAGCTTTAAAATTTCTCTCTTTTGTACTCTGTCCTTTTATTTCTCAAGCCGGCTGACACTTAGGAAAAATAGAAAAGAACCTATGTGATTATCGGGACAGGTCCCCCGATAATGCCTTTTATGAGATAAGCATTGATTTCACAACTTGACCAAAATATTGCAAGTTAGTAAGATCAGAGGACAAATGTCTCATGAATTTAAGTGCAGAAATACTAAACAAAGCATTGGCAAATAAATGTTAGCAATATGTAAAAACGATAGTACATTACGATGAGTTGGTATTTATTCCAGCAATGCAAGGCTCTCCAAACATAAAATAATCAATGTCAGTCACCATATTAATGAAGTAAAATAGGAAAATCACAATATCATTTAATATATACACAAAAAAGACATCTGATAATGATAATTACCCATTTATAATTTTAAATGCCTTCCCAAATACCTAGGGGAAGAAATTAAACTTTCTTAAGCTTATAACATTTCCATGAAATATTGTATTTTATTTAGCTGTGAAATATTAAAAACTTATTCCTGAGATAAAAAATGAGCAATGATATCCACTGACATGAACCCTATTCAATGGTATATTAGAAAGTCAAAGCTAGTGGATAAGCCTCACCACTACCCTCTACCAAAAAGTAAAAGAACTAAGAAAATTGTTATCATTCCCATATGACATAAATATTTATATTGAGAAATACAAAAGGATTCACTGATAAACTCTAAAAATCAATAAATTATCTTAGGAAGGTTTCTGAATACAAGTTAATATATAAAATCAACTGTATTTCTATATTTTCTATATTTTCTATATTTCTATCTACTGTAACAAATTGATAATAGTGAAAATTTTCAAAGCTATCATTTATAAAAGTATCAAAATTAAATCTATAGAAATAAATGTAAAAATATGTGAAAGAGATCTACACAGATTTAAAGCATTTATGTAAGAATTACAGAAGATAAACAAATGGAGAACTATATCAAGTTTATGGATTGCAAAATTCAATATGATAAAGGTCTTATCTCTCAATTAATCTATAGATTTACCCATTATAACTCAAAAGCAAAGCATTTTCTTTTATGGAAGCAAAAAAGCTAATTCTAAAATTTATGTAGAAATGCAAGCAAAAGACCCTAAATAATGAAGCTCATATTACTAGACATTCAAACATATTTAAATATCTATTGTAATTTAAAAGATGTGTACGTGCATAGGGATATACAAATAATTATACCAGAAACAGAATAGTGAATTCACATTTAGATCCACGATGACTCCAGACAAATGAATTATCTATCATTAAGGTACCACTGCAGTGCAGAAATGATGACCTTTGGATAAATGTTAAATAAACACGAAATTTACATGAGAAACCTTGGTCTGTACCTCCAACCATACACAGAATCAATTCCAGATGAATCACATGTCTAAGTGTGAAAATAAAGCTTCTTAAAGATGACATTGGTTCACTGAGACTGTTTCCTGATGAGGGCAAGCTAGGCTTCAGGGACAGCAAGAAAATGGGATCAGGCTCTCATCATCATTCCAATAATGTTTTTGTTAGTAAATAAATTACTAACATGTAAATCATTCCTGGATATTCTTTATTTCCTTAAGGTTATAAATGTGTGCTCTGAGAAAGATACCATTAAGAGAACGGAAAGACAAGACTCAGACTGGGAAAAATATTTGCAAAACATGTATTTCATCAAAGAATTGCATCCAAAATGTGCAAAGTCCTGTAAAACTAACAACTTAATTAAAAAATAAACAAAAGATTTGAATATCAAACAATATACGTGAATGCTAAATAAGCATATGATAAAAAGTACAGCATAATTCATCATTAGGGAAGTGCAAATTAAAACAACAGTGAGAAATTACTACACACATAATGGAATGTCTAAAGTCCAAAAAAAACTGATATTAATTGCTGGCAAGGATGTGGAGTAACAAGAATTCTCATTCACTGCTACTAAGAATGCAAAGTGGAGGAGAAACTTTAGAAGACAGTTGGCAGTTTCTCACACAGCAAAACATACAACCCAACTGATCTGAAAAGTTGTGTCTATACAAAAATTTGCATGTAAGTGCTTATGGTAGCCAAAATGTTTCATAAATAACAAAAAAAGTGAACATACTAATAAGCTGTAGTACATGCATATAATAGAACACTATTCAGGAACTAAAGGGAATCAAGACCCTGAAAATATTAATTAATTTTAAGTGCACATTGCTCAGTGAAAGAAGCCAGTCTGAAAAGACTGCATTATGAGACTGGATAATAGAGCTAAATGTCAATTGTAAAACTATGAAATTCCCTGAAAATTACATAGGAGAAAACCTACATGACCTTGGGTATTGAAATGACATTTTAGATGTAATGCCAAGGGCATGATCTATTTTTTAAAAATGAATAAGTTGGACTTCATTAAAAAAAATCTGCCATGTGAAAGACAATATCAAGAGAATAAGACAAGCCATTGATTGGGAGAAAATATTTGGAAAGACACATTTGATAAGGACTGTTATCCAAAATACACAGAGAAGTAATATAACTTAACAATGAGAAAGCAAACAACTCTATTTAAAAATGGGCCGAGCACCTGAATAGACGCCTCTTTTAAAAAGTTACACAGATGCATATAAACATATGAAAAGATGCCCCCTGTATTAGTCTGTTCTCATGTTGCTATAAAGAAATATTCAAGACTGAGTAATTTATAAAAGAAAGAGGTCTAATTGACTCACAGTTCTGCATGGCTTGAAAAGCCTCGGAAAACTTACACAATCATGGCAGAAGGGGAAGAGGCATGTCTTACACGGTGGCAGGGAAGAGAGAATGCATGCATACGAGGAACTGTCAAACACGTATAAAAGCATCAGATCTCGTGAGAACTCACTCACTATTAGGAAAACAGCATGGGGGAACCACCCCATGATCAAATCACCTCCCACCAGGTCCTGCCCTCGACATCTGGGGATTATGGGGATTACAATTCAAGATGAGAAATGGGTGGGGACACAGAGCCTAACCATATCACACCCCATTATACATTATCTGGAAAATACATATTAAAACAATGAGACATCTCTACACATCTACTAAAATAGTCAAAATTTGGAACACGAACAAAACCAAATTCTGGAGAAAATGTGGAGCAACAATAACTCATTCACTGCAGGTGGGAATGAAAAATGCTACAGCCACTTTGGAAGACAGCTTTGCAGCTTCTTACAAAACTAAACATATTCTTTCCATATGATCCAGCCATCATGCTCCTTGATATTTGCCCAAAGGAACTGAAAATATATGTGTACACAAAAACTTGCACAAAGATGTTTATATGACTTTATTTATAAACACGAATACTTAGAAGCAGCCAAGATGTCCATCAGAAGGTTAATGGATAAACTGTGGTACATCCAGACAATGAAATATTATTCAGTGATTAAAAAAAAAAACAAAAAAAACAAGCCATGGGGTCCTGAAAAGGCATAGAAGAACCTTGGGTAAAACTACTCAGTAAAATAAGCCAATATAAAAACGCTAAACACTGCATGATTCCAACTATTTGACATTCTAGAAAAAGCAAAACTACAGAGACAGTAAGTGATTAGTGGTTGTCAGCAGTTGGGATGGGAAGGAAGGGATGTATTGGCAGAGCATGGAAAAAATTGAGAGCAGTGAAACTACCCTGTATACTAACATAATGAGTACATATCAACTCACACTTATCCAAAACCATGGAATTTACAACACCAAGAGTGAACCCTAAACCAGAGGCTTTGGGTGTTGATGATATGTCAGTGGAGCTTCATCATTTGTAACAAATGAATCACTCTGAAGGGGTATGTTGATGGTGTAGGAGGTTGTGCATGTGTTGAGCAAAAAGTATGTGGGAAATTCCTGTACCTTCCTCTTAATTTTTCTGTGAACCTAAAACTGCTCTTTTCTTAAAAGTCTATAAAAAGGCTACATACTGTATGATTTCAGTCATAAAATATTCTGTAAGAAGTATAACTATAGAGATGGTAAACAATTCAGTGATTGCCAGGGTTTTTTGGAAACTTTGATATAACGTGACAAGAATGGCACATTAACTCTGTGATCTGCTTCCCCTAAATCTATCATCTCAGTCTAATCATGAGAAAAACAGCAGATAGATCTCAATAAGGGAAATCCTACAAAAATACCTGGCCACTGTCCCTCAAAACTATCTAGGTAAAAACGAAAGTATCTCCACCAAGAATAAACTGGCTTGGGATATATGGGGACTCTATACTATCTTTGCATATTTTTTGTCAATGTAAAACTACTGTAAATTTAAAAAGCTATTTAAAAAAAGAAAACAATGCCTTTCAAAAAATAGGTTATATGGATTGAGGAAGTAAAGTATAGGGGATTACTGTAGGATGGGAAAAGATTTTGTATGATGCTGTAATCGTAGATCATGACACTATGTGTTTATCAAACCTAAAGAAATTTATAATAGAAACTAAACAGCATCTGTAGAGCAAAAGAAATAATCAGCAGATTAAACAGACAACCCACAGAGTGGGAGAAAATATTCACAAACTGTGCATCCAACAAAGGAATAATATACAGAATCTACGAGGAACTCAAACAATCAGCAAGAAAAAGGCAAATAATCCCATCAAAAAGTGGACAAATAACATGAATAGACAATTCTCAAAGGAAAAGATATGAATGTCCAAAGACATATGAAAATATGCTCAACATTACTAATTATCCGGGAGATGAAAATTAAAACCACAATGATATAACATCTTACTCCTGCAAGAATGATCATAGTTAAAAAATTAAAAAAAATAGATGTTGGCATGGATGTAGTGAAAAGGGTACACTTTTACATTACTGGTAGGAATGTAAAGTAGTACAACCGCTCTGGAAAACGGTATGGAAATTCCTTAAATAACTAAAAGTAGAACTGCAACTTAATCCAGCAATCCTACTACTGGGTATCTACCCAGAGGAAAATAAGTCATTATATGAAAAAGAAACTTGCACACTCAGGTTTATAGCAGCACAATTCGCAATTGCAAAAATATAGAACCAACCTAAATGCTCATCAACCAATGAGTGGAATATATATGTGTGTATGTATATATATATATATACACACACACACATTTTATATATATATATCTGTATATATATACATTTTATATATCTGTATATAAAAAATATATGTATATATGTTCCACTTGTTGGTTGATGTGTATATATACATATATACATGTATATATAAAAATGTGTATATATGTGTGTATATACATTTGTGTGTGTGTGTATGTGTGTGTGTGTATATATATATATATATATATATATATATACACATACATACACACACCTACATACCATGAAATACTACTCAGCCATAAAAAGGAATGACATAATGGCATTCGCTACAACCTGGATGGAGTTAGAGAGTATTATTATTATTATTATTATTATTATTATTATTATTATTATTATTTTGAGACAGAATTTCACTCTTGTTGCCCAGGCTGGAGTGCAATGGCATGATCTTGGCTCACCACAACTCCCACCTCCCAGGTTCAAGTGATTCTCCTGCCTCAGCCTCCCAAGTAGCTGGAATTACAGGCATGCACCATCACGCCCAGCTATATATATATATATATTTGCATATTTTTAGTAGAGATGGGGTTTCTCCATGTTGGTCAGGCTGGTCTGGAACTCTGGACCTCAAGTGGTCCGCCCACCTAGGCCTCCCAAAGTGCTGAGATTATAGGCATGAGCCACCACGCCTGGCTGGAGACCGTTATTCTAAGTGAAATAACTCAGGAATGGAAAACCAATCATCAGATGTTCTCACTTATAAGTAGGAGCTAAACTATGAGAACATAAAGGCATGGACTTTGGGGACTTGGACAGAATGGTGGGAAGCAGGCAAGGGATAAAAGACTACACAACGGTTACAGTGTACACTGCCTGGGTGGCGGGTACACCAAAATCTTAGAAATCACCACTAAAGAACCTATCCATGTATTAAAAAAATGCATGTACCCCAAAAACTATTGAATTTAAAAAAACATAAATAAAACATTTTTTTAAATTTAAAAATTGAAAAAGAAATGGTGAACTTTAGCATACACAAATTAAATAAGTTAAATTATTTAGGAATTTGGCAGAACTAGAAATAAAATTAAGAATGAAAAAATCAAATTGTATTACAAATATCTGAAACCACCTCACTGAAGGGGCTGGGGAAAATATTGCTGATCTAAGCAGCTTTGGAAATAAGTGGAATCTGCAAGACTAAAGCAAAAGGAACTGTATACGTACACTATACTCTAGCTCATAAAGTATTTTCCCCACAAGACTGTGATTAACAATTTGGAAATGAGTATCCATGTAAAAGCAATTAAATAATTAAGTAAATCAGTGGTGAATTGTGGAAGCCAGGATTCTCACTGTTGAACTGGGAGGTTACAGACAATGAAGGAAAGAAATCTAGGATAATTCATATGGTAATGGTTTAGAGTAGGATACATCAGTATTATCTCATGTCTACCTGAATATACATATGGATGGATAAATATAAAAATATTTATAGTAAGAGTTTATACGTGGTATAGTATATATACATATGTTTTCTTCCTCTGTCATCTGAGAGGGCCTAGAAGCATGATTCCCCAGTAGCAGTGAGCACACCTACTGCCCAGATCTTGTTTGCTCCTACTATTCGCAATAAAAAAAAAAAAATCAAGAGCTCCTTGAGAAACGAAATAAATAATTTAGTATTGGAATATAACATGAAGAATAAAATAAATATCTATGAGTCTATGCTAATATAAAAAACCTTAAAGAAATAAATAAATGGGGGAAATGGACATATCTACCACGTAGAAGAATTCAAAGAAATTTTTGTTAGTATTTAACTTCGAGGAAATGGAGCATAACTCCCCACGCTTTACACACACACTCACAGAGATCTTCAGCAATTTTAACAATTACAGAACAGCCAAGATCCAAATGTGTACTTCTTCTGTAAACTGGGCCAAAGGATAAGAGAAATAGAAGTTATAACAACCAGCACTTTGGGAGGCCAAGGCAGGTGGATCACCTAGGGTCAGGAGTTTGACACCAGCCTGGCAAACATGGTGAAACCTCGTCTCTATAAAAAATACAAAAATTAGCTGGCCATGGCCGTGGGTGCCAGTAATCCCAGCTACTCAGGAGGCTGAGGCAGGAGAATCACTTGAACCCAGGAGGCAGAGGTTGCAGTGAGCCAAGATCACGCCATTGCACTCCAGCTTAGGAGACAGAGTGAGACTCCGTCTCAAAAAAAAAAAAAAAAAAAAAAAAAGAATGTTATAACAAGCATCTAAATAATAACATAAAGGAAGTAAGTGGAGTCCATGAAAGCAGGGAATACCATGAGTGTTAGTGCATTTGGAAAATGACTTCCCAAAATGCTAAAATGATACTTATTCGTTTGTTGAGTTACAATATTCTGGATTCTTTCCACCGTAATTGACAGAACTCCACTGAAACTGAAGCAACAAAGAAAAGTTTATTTGTTCAGGGAACTAAAAAGCTCAAAGATATCTGCTGACATGAAAAATGAATGGAACTAGGAGTTCCAAAGTGTCATTGAATATGTGTATCTCTCTATAGTTAGTCACTGGTTTACCCTGGTTGGCTTTATTTTTGAAAGGCTTCTACCTTATGACAGAAGGTGACTAGTAACAACTCCAGGTTTATATTTTTCCAGCTCAGTGGCATCTCTAGAAAATATGGCTACTCCTTGCTAATCACTCCCCTCAAAAAATCCAAGATTGAGTCTAACTGGACAAGCTAATTTGGTTCATCACTTACCACTACAATAAAGTACAGTGGGATGCCTCAGAACCCAATGATACAATCATCTCTACCTAATCCCTATGGACTGACAGTGAGGTGGTAACTCAAGAGAAATGAGTCTTGGTGATAAAACAAGTCCAAATTAAAAAAAACATCAATAAGTATGATTTCAAGTCTTTGGCTTAGTTACTGAATATATGTAAACACAGAAAAAGTCAGTAAATGTAAAAATAGAAATAGGAGTACCTCTGAGGCAAGAATAGGATATCATATCCAGTTTTCCGATGTCATTGGGACAATCAATTGATATTGTCTAATGATAAATACAGGTTGAAAGACTAGTGAACAAAGGTAGAAAAATAAAAAAAACTTAATTTATATACTATACTTTTTTCTCTTTTTAATATTGTATCAATATAGTGTCTTTGTTTTTGTTTTTCTTTTTGTTTTTGTTTTTTGAGAAGGAGTTTCGCTTTCGTTGCCCAGGCTGGAGTGCAAAGGTGCGATCTCAGCTCACTGCAACCTCCGCCTTCCAGGTTCAAGTGATTCTCCTGCCTCAGCCTCCCGAGTAGCTGGGATTACAGACACGCACCACCACACCCAGCTAATTTTTGTCTTTTTAGTAGAGATGGGGTTTCACCATGTTGGCCAAGATGTTCTCCATCTCCTGACCTTGTAATCTGCCAGCCTCAGCCTCCCAAAGTGCTGGGATTACAGGTGTGAGCCACCATGCCCAGCCATATAGTGTCTTTTAAAAACCTACTACCAGCATTCTTGTGTACAGAAGACTGGACATTTGATTATGCGATGCACCTTTTTGAAGAAGGGTAAGTATAATATGTTATTCTTTAAACTTAAATAAATAAATGATGATGCTTTAATGAAGATTGAAATAGTGTCTCAAATCACTTTGCATTTTATTAGGTAACTTAGACTTTCCATAGCAAAATAAAGTCTGATTGTAAAACGTGTGTACAAATTTAATAATCTGATTCTAGGTTAGTATAAGCTTAATAAAGTTTGACTGCTATTTATGCTAGTTCCTTAAATGGCTTTTTCTTCCCCTTGATCAAGCAAAATATTCTCATTGTAACCAGAATGAAAAACGAACAAACAAGAAAACTATGAATACAAAATTTCAAAGAAATCAGTTGGCCCTAAATAAAGAGAGCAAAAGTGTCCCTGCTCAGTCAGGCCTCATAAAGTCTCTCTCACACAACTGAATGGCCATGTATTTTTATATTCTCTGTAAACAGGCCATAAAATGGCATAATAGTTCAACGAGTCCTGTATCTGAGATACACATATACTGAGTAAAAATAAGTAGTCCATTTTAGTCAGTGGGTTCTTTGCAAGAAACAGAGACTGACTCAGGATATGCAAAATAAAATACGTATGTATAGGGGAAGGTTATAGGGTCAGTCATAAAATCAAAGAGATTACTTGGTATGGACTACACTGTGTCCTCCTAAAATTCATATTGGAGTCCTAACCCCAAGTACCTCATAATGTGACTGTATTTGAGACAGACCTTTTAAAGAGGCAACTAAGGTTAAAAAAAGGTCATGTAGGTGGACCCCAACCTAATATGATTGGTGCCTTTATAAGAAGAGAAAATTAGGACACAGTCATACACAGAAAGAAGATCATGTGTAAACACGGGAGGAAGACAATCATCTCCAAGGCAAAGAGAAAGGCTTCAGAAGAAACCAAACCATGAACTCAGTCTTCTAGCTTCCAGAACTGTGAGGAAATAAATTTCTGTTGTTAAATCATTCATTCTGTGGTATTTTGTTATGCTAGCCCTAGCAAACAGATACATTCCTGAAGAATCAAGTCTCAGAAAGGATGAAAATACGGTTATATCCAGGAATTGTCTTAAAAACTAATAAATATTTACTTCAGAACTGCAGCCTTTGCACTGATAAAGTGTGAATTCTGCCCATCCTTACAGAATCAAAGTACACAATTCTGCAAGAAAGAAGCTTATTGACTAAGCTTAAGTAACGTGCCTACTCTTGGCCAGGAGAAAAATATTACCTTGATTTACAGATACATCAACACTACATGAAATAAGAAAGGGAAGAAGCTTGAATAATATAATAAATAATGTCTACTACACCTACTTACGTCTTCCAAACTGTCACCCCCAACAAAGAAAGTTCAAGTACAGAGTCCCAAAGTCAACAAAACAGGGAAAAGCCCAGGGTGTTCTATGACCAAATCGAAACTGCGTGTCTGTAGAGTGATGGGTGATGGTGATACATGAGTAGGAGGAAAGTTCATAGAGGAAACATCTTTTAGAGAGGGCCACATGAGTTACGGAAAGGAGTTTAGAATTAATTATTATGTAGAACATTGTACAATTTAAAACATGTATTGTGTGAAGCTACTGCAGTTTTACTCAGGGAAACCATATTATCTGTTTCACAGTTTTAAATGCCAAAACTATTTTCTTTGGAATATACAAAGAAAGGTGTGTAGCAAGGAATGAGGCAAGATGCCTGGTTAAGAGGACAGTTACATTTTACAAGAGGGAGCTGCTTACTTGGGCCAAGTCAGAAGCAGAAGAGTTGATGAGATGTAGTTATATTCAGGCTGTACTTTGAAGGAAAAGCTAAGAGAATTTGCTGATTAATTGACTATCAAGAAGGAGAAAAAGGGATAGGACCAAACTTTTAGGTATTTGACCTGGATAATTAAGTGAATGATACATAATTAATTGAGAGAGGGGATACAGGGAGGTACAGTTGGGAGGAGAGGAGGTACTTGATAAGAAATTAAGAGGTCATTGTTGACTATGTTAAGTTGAGATGCTTATTCTTCAGAAAAAATAAAAAGTTCCACTGAGTTAAACACTGAATAAATAAGATATATTCAGAAATAACTTCAGTAAAGTTGAGGGTTACTGTTGACTTTGACAAAAGCAGTTTCTAAGTAGTGGTGGAGACAAAAATCTGATTGATTGAGATAGAAGAATAAAATGTGAAGAAGCAGTAAAAGCAAATAAACAGTTGAAAAGTTTGCCTCAAAATGGTGCAATGATATGAGAAGAGAGCTGAATTGGGAAATGGATTTACTGTATTAATCCGTTCTCATGCTGCTATGAAGAAATATCTGAGACTGGGTAATTTATAAAGAAAAGAGGTTTAATTGACTCAGTTCTGGACGGCTGGGAGGCCTCAGGAAACTTAAAATCATGGCAAATGGCACCTCTTCACAGGGTGGCAGGAGAGAGAATGAGTTCCAAGCAAAGGGGGAAGCCCCTTATAAAACCATCAGATCTCGTGAGAACTAACTATCACAAGAACAGTATGGAGGAAACTGCCCCCATGATTCAATTATCGCCATCTAGTCCTGCTCTTGATACATGAAAATTATTACAAGTCAAGGTGAGATTTGAGTGGGGACACAGCCAAACCATATTATTCTGCCCCGGTCCCTCTCAAATCTCATGTCCTCACATTTCAAAACACAATCATGCCCTTCCAATAGTCTCCCAAATTCTTACCTCATTACAGCATTAACCCAAAAGTCCAATCCGAAGTCTCATCTGAGACAAGGCAAGTCCCTTCCACCTATGAGCCTGTAAAATCAAAAGCAAGTTAGTTACTTTCTAGATGCAATAGGGATACAGGCAATGGGTAAATACACCCATTCCAACTGGGAGAAATTGATCAAAACAAAGGGGCTTCTAGGCCCCACGTAATTTTGAAATCCAGTAGGGCAGTCACTTAACCTTAAAGTTCCAAAATGATCTTGAGATAAACTTTTGTCATTTTGTTCTTTATTTTGTCTTCAAAATGAGAGCTTGTAGTGGGTAATATTTGAATTTTGCAAGATTGCAACTTGTAAAATTTTGTGAAAAATTGTAAAATGTTAATAAAATATGAGTTAATCTGAGTTCCATTTGTAAAATCGAGATTCTTTTTAGCAAAGGAGAATACATTTACAATTAAATTTTCCATAGCAACAAAAATATATGTTCATTTATAGTAACAGCTTTAAGGAAGAGTGAATTGTCAAATAAATAAATTTATCTGGTCTATTAAAATAAGAATTTAAAAGAACTTTGAGAGAGAAAAACATTAAACAATGGCTATATTTTTAATCAACCTTTTAAATCAAGAATGTTCTTTCTGCATTGATGTAGAACAAAGATAAGTAAATAATGACTACATAAATTAGTGAGAAGTAATTAAATATTATTGACAAAATTTGTTGATTAAAAGCAAATGAGGAAGTAATGATAAAGTTTTTCTATATGATACATGTATTTTTCAATATAATTATAGCTACTTATAAAATCATTTAAAACAGCAAAACTGTTGATCACTGGATAATTGAGTTGTGGGGTTTTGACCATCAATTTTATTTTTATAAGTTCATTTTATTATCTTTTTAGTTAACAAGAAAATAGAAAAAAATGGCACCAGGAAAATTGTGCAGAAAATGTTTTTTAAAAGTTATTATAAAAAGTTCTTCTTACTAGAAAAAAGGATTGTGAATTCTTCCCACTTCTCACTTATCATCTGTAAGCATTTTGCAGATAGGACATCTAGATATGGGAAAACATAAGAAAATTTCTCCAATTACTTAAGTGTCCTCCAATCCTTGGAAGGCACTCAGACTGATAGAAGTGAGTTCTTTGACATAATATTTTGCATAACTGAAGTTCAAACGTTATTGTTTGTAACATCTATGCATCTATATGCAAGCAATACGATATGACAGGAACAAGTTTCTATTATGGATATGAATTTGTCCTCCCTTAGCGAGAAAGATCATTGAATCTAGGCCAGATGAGAATTGCTGTTATATTCTTAGCATAGGAGCGTCTTACCTGATTCATGAATTATAAGTTGTATTCCATATCCCACTGTATTTGAGTTCTTATCTATTCAGATCTTTCTTGTTTTTGTATATTAACATGTTTTCTCTCACTGTACTGAAATCTTTTTGCTCCCTTTTATATTAAAGGCATTTGTTGCACCCTCCTTGGCTGGCCTCCTCCCAACTCCATCCCATCCAATTATGTTCGTAACTTCCTGACATATAAATGTTGATAGTAGTATAAAAAGATATTATCTAGTGTAATAGACTGTCAGATATAAGGTAAGGTTTTTTGCTACTACTTTCTTACAACCTATGACTCTTGAGCCTTTGAAAGCCTAATAAAACTATTGGCAATTCTGTAATTCCTTACTTTGTACTCTACAGTGCTTGTTTAGCTCTTACGGGGTTTGTTCTATTAAATTACACTACATAATAAAAACAAGTATTAGCTCCCTGTCTTATAAAATAATGACAAATAAATTATTAGGGCAAAGCCTAACAAGAAAAATAAATTGAGTCATGGTGTTTTGAATTGGTGGTTTCAAATTCAGAAAGCAGAGATGCAAATTTTCTAGAACTTAATTTGAGTCACATCACTGATACTTGGAAGGGGAAGAAAAGAAGAGAAAAAAAGGCAGTCTGTGAGTAGTTCTTCTGCTTGCCTATAGGCTACATGTTATAGGTTCTGGAAAACAGATAGAGAAAAAGGATGTTTTTCTGTTTGTACAAGAGGTATATAAGTCCTTATAAATTCAGTGTTTCAGCTGTGAAAATGCAGTATCAAGATACTTCCTTCCCAATGATTGAATAATTTTTTTCTGTTTTATTTACAAAATGTATTACAATGTGGTTCTTTCAGAGTTTTGTGATAAGCATCATTATGGTACCCATGTACTTAAAATTGCATTCAAATACATCTCTTTCCCAAATTCCTATAAAAAACATTTTAGACTTATTCAGTACTCTTGCTTATCTTAACACCAAATACAACATTTTTCTTTTTTTTTTTTTTTTACTGGGTAGCAATTAAAGAGTTTGTGCCCTTGACATTGAAAAGGCTTCAGGGAATTGATTACAATAAAGTACCTCAGGTAAACCAGCCTGGAGCTTTCTGGCATATAGTTGTTCATTCTACTTGGATGGAAAGCAAATTGGAAGGAAAGTGACACATTTGGTCTGGCAGGGAGGTGAGTGATACTTTTGAAATATCTACAGATCCCATTTTCTTTTCAAGTTCACAGTAGTTTTGGGGAGAATTCTTGCCAATATCTCAAGGAAGCTGCTTGCCTTATAAGAGAGACATAGGAAAGAAAAGTTGTGTGAAAAGGGGAGAGTGTAAAATAGGGAAAAGCAGGCATTTCTGTACTCTTACTTGATTTGTCCTCGATCTACTTTTGGATGTGTTTTGGCTACAAAATTTCTTTCTTTTGCACTTCAGAAGAGGCATGGGTTTTTAAAAGACAAATGAGGTTATAAAATGAGAAGAACTAACTTCTCAGTTAATTTCACCAACATAATTCTATCAAGAGTGTTAGTAGAGAGTCTAGAATCACTTAAATAAGTGCCAGTCTCCCCAGGAAGTGATGACACAGGGTATTTCAGTACAATCTGTGTCCTTTGAGTATTGAGAGCAGGAAAACAGAGATTCACATCCCAGATCTTCAATTCCCTGTGCTCTTCCTGTTCCTGAAAATGCCATCTTAACAGATCTGTTCAGCCTGAAACATGTCACCTAACTTCAATTTGATCCAAAGATGTTTCAGGGAAGAGTCTTTGATGCTGGACATATGTTCAAAGGATGTATCACCAAAGTGTGAAAGGAGACTAGCATTCCTCTCACTTTTGATACTACTGAGTTAACACCTACATAAATTTTTAGGAGTACTTTCCTTCATAGCTATCATTCTATTTTCACACCTTATGTCCTGCCTCTGGCTTGTCAATGGCTATTGTTTGACAGCAAAATGGCCAAGTGAGGTTCTAAAAAAAGAGTATTTCTTTTATGTAAGTCCTTTGGAAGCAAAGACAAAGATTAAGTTTATGGTTCAGCAATTTCTTAAGATGTAACTTTAACAGCTTTAGTTCTGCACATACAGACTCATTAGTAATTTCCACATAACCTCTTACAAAACATCACATCAAATTACCTGCTTTATATTGACTTCCTGTGTTCTTTTTGTGCCTTTGAAGGTAGGAGTGAACAGGTTCAGCAATCGATGGCTCTTTTGTGTCTGACCACATGGACTTTGGTCTCAGTGGGCTGATTATTATTGAAAGAAAGAAAAAAGTGAATTTCAGAAGTGTGTAATTTCCTGTTAAAATTTTTTATGAAAACGAACTGACAAAACAAAATTAAACCTTTGTTTTATTGAAATAGTTATTCCTATGTGGGGATCATGACAGTGATGCTCAGTTTGGATACTGTTCATGACACTTAATAAAGTCATTACTCTTTAAATCCTATATGAATTGATGAATTCAGTTAAATTGTATAAAATGAAAATATTTTAATAATGGTTGGAATTTTATAGCATCCAAATATTTGTTGAATTCATAGAAAAGGAATTTACAGAAAAAGAAATTGATATATAAAGAAAAGAAAGAGAAAATGTAATCAATTTTTCAATAATGAATATACAAAGTACATCAAATTTTAGATTATAAGTCTACTTTATTCAATGCATCTAGATAACTGATCAAAAACTTCATAAACAATGATAAAAGAAAAAATTGAAAATTCTATTCTTTACCAATAAAATTATAAAAATGTTCAGCTTTCAAAGCAAAAATGCAAAGAAAAGTCACTAGACAAGCATGAAGCTGGCACAAAATTATTGTTCTGTACTTAATGTTGGGTCTAAAATTATTGTGGTTACAGGTTCCACACGTACAAACTACGAAGTTAAGTAAATTCAACAATCTTTTAAATAGTCTACGCCACCGAAAAAGCACTATAAGTCATTTTAAACATATCTAAATAAGCAAAAATAAAAACAGCAGAAATGATTAATGTGGAAGTTAAGACATGTTAGCAAAAATACAATTGAGTTACAGAAAAATTAGCAATTCATCATATACATGAGACAGATGAATGGATATAGCGGAATAACTTGGGTAACCAAATCTACAAAATTGCTTTTTTTGACATATCTTCTGAATCTTATGTAATGTAGCACTACTATTTTTATTTGCTATGACAAATAGAATTTTGCTATTTCTCTTTGCTATCAAGCCTTGAGAGTAGAGAAAAGAAATGTTATAGCAAATAGAAAAAAAGTATGTAAAATATGACAGAGCTGGAAGCCTTAGTTTAGTTCAGAGGTCCTTAGAAAATACTGTCTACCTCAAAAATGAAACTTTACCTTTTTTTTTTTTTTAACAAAGATCACTTAACAAGTAACCAACAATCTATTTTAAGAAAATGATATGATAATGGTTCTCCTAAACAAGTAAAATTGAAAGAGCTCAGAACAAATAATTTAGTGGGTATCAGTCACATATTCCTCTACCACCTACTAAAATATTGTCAATCATTCCATTTTTAGGTCTTGAACTTGGCCTTAAGGATGCTAGGGATGTCGACGGGGTAAGGAATCTTAAAAAAATGAATTTGCTGAACAGACTCTAACATAGAGAAGAAAACGTTCCTGTTCATTGGTTTCATTTTACTCTCTGATAAAGTAGATAAGAAATGAAATTGATCAGCGGTGATTTGATTTTTGGATTTGCATTGGATTTGTTTTATCTATATGGCAAACAAATCCAATAGTGAGGAATGATAATACACAATTATGTCTTTAACAGCTTCTTTACGTATGTGATGCCCCTAATAGCAACATTTTGAGTATAATCCAAACATACCCTACTGAATATTTAAATGTCCATGGTATAAAAATTCTTCTCTTCCTAATACTGCCCTCTTAATTGAAAAAAATGTCATTTTTTTTATTTTATGCTTACTATTTACCAAACATTATCACATTAAATTCACAAAAATTCTATCATTAACCCTTTGTAGATACGGAAACCGAGGCTTAGATCTATTAATTAGGTAGTCTGAGATTTACTTTGCTAGAATGAGTGGAGCCTATATTCAAAACACAGTCCTTCTGATTCTTGTGATTACTTGTAGACAGCCAGATTTCAGGACAAAGTTGTAAAACAGGAAATAAGTTAATGCAAACATGTTATCCAGGTTGCCACCACTAATGTACTATTGATTCTGCATCCTGAGTGATATTTTAAGGAATCTTATAAAATATGTCCTCAAAAATGTCCACCTGGTGATGAAAGGGGGTATTATTTATTCACAGAGTCTCATCCTCCACTGACCAGGAGTGACCCCCAGCAAATTAATTCAAGCTCATTTCCAAGTTGCGCATTTTGGAGTACCTAATAAAAAATCCTAGAGTTGGATGCAAATGCTAGGAGGTTCTGTTTGGATGAAGCAATTAAAAACCTGTTCTGAATTGATCATAGAAGCAGTACTGGAATGAGAAGTGGGACCAAAACATTTTGAAGCAGTGTATAAGAGGTGTTCAATACACTCTACTTCCACCTTCTTTAGGGAAACCATTTTGAGAACCAATTGTTTCTAAGTAACTTTATGTTACTCAGAAAAACTGAAAAGCATATAACTTTTATATTGACCATAAAATCTAGTGCAGCATATGTAGTAGGCACTGAATAAAAAATTGCTGGCTTATTTAATTATGATTCTTTTAAGTTGTATTATTAATGTTTTATTTATTACATTTAACTTGTTATTGCATTCAAAATCTATTTTGATGCATAATTTATTTTTTTCTACATTGTTTCTCCTATTACCAAAATAAATACTGAATAATCCATCTTTTCAGCAGTTGAACTATAAGTCTTCTTTCATTTTCTATCTAGTATTTACTTAACATATATTATTAACTATTTAATTATGTTGAGGTCATGAGCATCACACATGATGTTGCAAGAAGACTACTGGGCAAACTGACTGGCACAAAGCAGACACCCATGAATATTTGTTCTTTTCCTTTTGAAATACTATCTGCCTCCATACCTGCTAGCACATGCTGATAATGACTTTAGTAGGAACGAAGAACTATATTAAGACTTCCTGATTAACTGGTATCACAACCATTCTGGATCATGTGCTATTAGCTTAAGGTTTAGTCCTCTTTCTATCACTCTATATTTCTTCATTTCTTTTTTTTTTTTTTTTAGATGGAGTCTCGCTCTGTCGCCCAGGCTGGAGTGCAGTGGCGTGATCTCAACTCACTGCAACCTCCACCTCCCGGGTTCACGCCATTCTCCTGCCTCAGTGTCCCCAGTAGCTGGGACCACAGGCGCCTGCCACCACGCCCGGCTAATTTTTTTGTATTTTTAGTAAAGACGAGGTTTCACCGTGTCAGCCAGGATGGTCTCCTTCTCCTGACCTCGTGATCCGCCCGCCTCAGCCTCCCAAAGTGCTGGGATTACAGGTGTGAGCCACCGCGCCCGGCCCTCTTCATTTCTTAAATTTAACCACCAGAGACTAATCTAAAGCCTTTCATCTCAAAATATTTCGCCTTCCCCTTTTTTCTATATGAGGATTTTTGGAATTTCAATATTCGACAGATCTACTTATTCAGAAAATAAGGGAATAAAGAAAATAAGACACAGCGTCTAGAGGCAGGATACCGATCTCATTGATAGGAAGGATGACCCATGCAAAAGAAATTAATTTCAGTTATGTCTATCTATTCCCAGAATAACAGTCCAAACAAAAATTTTCCCAGGTGTGTTTCCACACACTGCCCAAATTTGCACAAAAGAACAATGTGTCTATGATATCAAGACTATATTTCTAGTAGTGTTTTGAATGTTAGATAGAAGAAACCTGAATTTCAGAAAAATTTGGGATATGGTGATTTGAAGATTAAAACAACCAAGCATGGTGTTAATTTAATCATCTATGTATGAAATAACGAGTACTGTGACCCACACACTTAGCTCAACCACCATGCAAATAAACTAGGAAATGCATCAGGGAACTGTAGTTCATAAGACCATTCTATCCAAAGTGTTCAACTTCTTATAATTCATATAGTCAACTTACTCCATGTTTTTTATTTCTTCTGTGCATCAGCAATAGCTGTGATGACAACATTTCTTAGATGTAAGGAAAACCATGCATGCTAGATTATGAAACAATTTTATTCTGCATGAAAATATGGATATGCCAAGTATTACAAAGTGTTGTTAACTTAGTCACTGGTTTCTTTCTGTCTTTACCAGAAACTTCCTATATTCAGTAATTTTCTTAGCAAAAAATTCAATCGAAGGAAGCACTATGCTGTAATGATTGTCATATGTGCATATTCAATGCCTGTATTATTTCATTTCTTTTTTTTAAAGTTTATGTCGTTTGTTCAGCTACCTTTTCTATTTAGGGGTTGACAAAAGAAATTTTTTTTTTTTTTTTTTTTTGAGAAGGAGTCTCACTCTGTTGCCCAGGCTGGAGTGCAGTGGCTCCTGGGACTACAGGCACCCGCCACCACACCCAGCTAATTTTGTTTTTGTATTTTTTGGTAGAGACAGGGTTTCACCATGTTAGCCAATATGGTCTCAATCTCCTGACCTCGTGATCTGACCACCTAGGCCTCCCAAAGAAAAATGGTTTTAAACAAAGTTGGGAACATAGAAATTATGGATAATTAATTAAACTGTGTTGTTTTAGTTATTTATTACTGGTTGATATTTATTAAATTAGGAAAAGCCCTCTTGAATGTGCTATCACATAAGCTGACTTTGTCTAAAAAAAAAAAAAAAAAAAAAAAAACTTCCAGAATGAACACTTGAATTTTTAGTTGGTTTTAAGTTTTTAGTTTTAATCAAACTATGAAGAGAGATCATTTCGGCTACAGATAAGTATGTGAAATCATTTGTTTTGAGGTAAAATACAAAAGCACCTGTCCAAAAAATAGGGAAAAATTATCTTCCTCTGATTACTTTTATTAGAAAATAAAACTAATACTTAAATGTATGAGTTAAGAATGAGGTTGAGTGTGGTGGTTCACGCCAGTAATCCCAACACTTTGGGAAGGCCAACGCAGACAGACCACTTCAGCTCAGGAGTTTGAGACCAGTCTGAGCAAAATGGCCAAACCTCATCTCTACAAAAACAAAAACAAAAACAAACAACAAACAAAAATTAGCAGGGCATGGTGGCACATACCTGTGGTCCCAGCTGCTCAAGTGGCTGAGGTGGGAGGGTCATCAGAGCCCAGAAGGTCAAGGTTGCAGTGATGATCGTGCCACTGCACTCCATCCAGCCTGAGTGACAGAGTAAGGCCCTGTCTCAAAACAAAACAAAACAAAAAAAGAACGAGGAAGAGAGTAAGAGATTAATGCAGCAATGAGAAACAGTGACAAATTCACAAGAATTATACAGTTGCTGAACATTTTTGGAAGCAAGAAGTAGGTTTGGAGAACAATACGAAAGAATGATAAAATAATGTTACTGTTGTGATACCATTTCAGCTGTTAGATAAAAAATGAAGACTGAAAAGGAGGCTGTTCTCCTCCCCTGAAAGCACTATTGATAAGGCAGGGGATCAGAGAAGTGTTGGGTAGAAAAGAAAGGGGCATGGTCCCTGGAGGGCTCCACCCTGGGGCCTGTGCCCACAGACCTAAACGAAGACAGGCATTTCTGTTTTCTGCCCAAAAAGTTGCCTTTTGGTCTGCCACGCCCCCCATCTTGTTCCCATAAAAACCCGAGACCCTAGCAGGCATAGACACAAGCAGCTGGACATCAAGAGACGCAGAAGAACACACTGTCAGACACCAACAGATACCGACAGGCCACGGAAGGCTAAACAAGGTGGAGGCCAGGGGAACGCCCCGGGGCGATGGGAGGAGAGTCCCGCCGCTGGGCAGCCTGACTCCAGGGGAAGACCACCTTCCCACTCCATCCCCCTTCTGGCCCCCCATCCATCTCACGGGGAGCTACCTTCACCACTCAATACAATCTTGCACTCATCCTCCAAGCCCACGTGTGATCCAATTTTTCCAGTACACAAGAGCAAGAACTCCGGATACAGAAAGCCCTCTGTCCTTTCGATAAGACAGAGGGTCTAACTGAGCTGATTAACAGAAGCCACCTGCAGACAGCAAAGCTGAAAGAGCACGCTAACACACGCCCACTGGGGCTTCGGGAGTTGTAAACACTCACCCCAAGATGCTGCCGTGGGGTGGGAGCCCCAAAACACTCCCTACCACCTGCCTGCATGCTCCCCCCAGGGGTTTGAGCATCAGGGTATGAAGAAGAGACCAAACCCCTGTCACACACCCTGCGTGGGGGATAAGAGAACTCTCCCGTTTCACTAGGATAAAATATCAACTAGTCTTGACACAGCATACTTTGATGTGCAAATATTTTTCTGGCAGATTCTACATTATCAATGAGATTTTTTGAAAGTTCATAAAATAGGATTTCACAAGCTGACATAAATTTCGCTTTATATAAAGTTTCTAAAAAGCTTAGCCCACCATAATTAGGAGCTTCTATGCTGATATGACAGAAAACTCATTATTATCTACCCTTATCTATAAAAGGAAATGTTTGGCTCCTGTATTCAGGAATTCCAAAAGCAGGGCTTGTCCTACTGCAAGCTTTAGACATGAGCCCGAAAGAAACCACTCGAACTCAAATCTACCAGTCTCTGGATTGATTTCTTCAAGATGTTTCCATTACTCAGCAACCTCTTCCCTCATGGTTGCAGGATACCATTCAGGTAATCCAACTATAGCCCCTTTTGTTTGTTTGTTTGTTTGTTTGTTTTCCAATCCAGCAGGAAAGATAAAGTATTTCTAGTAGCTATGAATGTCATATACTCACTTTCATTGGATGTCTGGGTTATGTGTTCATTCCTGAGCTAATCTTGAGGCCAAAGAAATGTAAAGTTGAACTGGCTTAGGACAGGGTCAAATATACCACTCCTAGAGAAAAGGGAGCAGCCACTTCCAATGCGAAGCACATGGGCAGAGGGTGGGGAAGGGGAGATGGTCCAGAGGGAAATCAGGACATGGTTTCTGGATCAGTGTCCTGAGACTATTGTAACAAGTTACTACAAACTGGGTGGCTTAAATCAATACAAATTTATTCTTCCACAGCTTTGTTGGCAAGAAACTCAAAATTTTGCAGGAGCCATCTCCCTCCAGGGACTTTAGGGAAGAATGGGATCCAGGCCTCTCTCAGGTTCTGATGGCCCCAGGCACTCCTTGGCTTCTGGCTGCATCACTCCATTGCCAGCCTGGATTTCATCATCACATTGCCTCTTCTGTTTCTCTCAAAGCTCTTATTAGATCTGTAAGTTTATTTATGTTCCAGCCATATAATCCACAGTGATCTCTTCAGCTCAAGATCTTTAATTATATCTGCACAGGTTCTTTTTCCAAATATGATAAAATGTACAAAAGTTTTAAGGATTAGGACGTGATGTCTTTGTGTCACTGGTAAACTGAGTTCTTTCTCTACTTTATTTTGATCACAAAGAAAGAACACCCAATTGGGAAAAAGGCAAGCAGGTTTTATTCCTGGCCAGGAATGGAGATGGAGTGAGCTGTCACTCTAAAGAACCCCTTCCTACCTCCAGAAGCTGAGCTATGTGAAGCTGGGGAATTTTCAAAATTGAGATGTGGGGTGGGGAGGTACGTAAACACATGCAGGCAGGAACTCCAGAGTGAAGGCGCAGATCATACACATCCCTCTTCGTATGATGTATATTTAGAAAATCACGATGATTTTCTCCTATGGGTGGGGACTTTAGCATTACAATTATATGTTAATGATTTAAAGGGGGGCACCAATTCTCACTTGAACCCATCTGGCATGGTTCTTATTTCCCTCTGGTATTTGGCAAAGGATCATAAATCTCTTGGGGCATCCCAAGCTATTTGGGGTTCATTAAGTAGCCATGCCTGTGGATCAGGAGATTAAATTGAAAAAAACTGTCAAAATAAAAATTCCAACTGCTTAGGCTGGCATTATCCTGGTGACATTTGAGTGGATAATATTCAACCTATTACAGTTACCCAACAATATGAAATGGGAGCCTAGTGGTCCTAAACAATGGATGCCCCACACAGTCAACGTATTTGTAAGTGGAAGCAATATGATATGAGTATCCCTATCAGATTTGGTAAACAGGTTTGAATCTTAGCTGTGTCTCTTACTGACGTTGTAGCCTTGGCAACTTAACTTAAAATCTCTAAGCCTCAGCTTCTTATGCACAAACTAGGCATAATAAAACTATCTACTCTCACAGGGTTGGGAGCTGGTTAAATAAGTATGTGTAAAAATTTAGCATATTGCATAATGCATAGTACTGTATAAATAAATATTAGCTAGTAGTATTTGTCTGTTTAGTTTTTATATTTGCATTACAAATAAAACACCTCTGATTATTTTAGCATCATTATCTGCCCTAGTATTGGGCCGCAAGTGGAAGAAGTGTGATAGTATGTAAAGAGTGAACATCTGGGAGGTAGGAGACCTGGCTTCCTGCCATGGATCTGAGACCATACAGAAGTTATATCCTCTTGAGATAGCACATTCTATATCTACAAATGGCACATTTAGATCAGAGGTTGGAAAATTATAGTCCATGGGCCAGAGCCAGCCACACTCATTCATTTAGGTATTGTCTATGGCTGCCTGGCTGCCCTACAACAGCAGAGTTGAGTAGTCCCTAGGGCGACCTGTCTAGTCAGCAATGCTGAAAAGACACCATTTGACGCTTTGCAGTTTAGATGGCTTAGATGCTTATCTCTGTTTAGATGCTTACTTAGAACTTTCTGCCTTGAGCTTCTGTAGTTCCAAAGCCTCACTATTCATGTTCTTCTGGGCCAAGTAAACCAACAGATCACGAAGCTAAGTTATCTAGGGCATGCACTGAATTATAGAGCATCAGAGATAATTAATAATACATTTTCAACTGAACCAAGCACTACTTGATCATTTAATTGGAAGAGGAGGATAGAATCAAAGCAAAAAAAAAAAAAAAAAGGAAATATTTCCTTCTTGGTAAATGACAAAAGTTTTTTCAAACAGAAAATTGTCCTCTTTCTGTTATGGTTTAGCCTAATTAGGATACATTTGAGAAACAGATGGTTTAACGTAGAGACTGTTATTTATTAGAAAAGTAGGCAAGTAATTGCAACACTATACCATTCTCTAATGTTGCCTAGTATAAAAGTCTGTTGGACTTTTAAGGAATATATAAGAAGAGTTGTAATTCGCATGTCAAACTACCAGTTAGGTATATCTGGCTTCTACTAGTATTAATGTTATAATTGGCTGGCTTCTAGCTCTCCTTGACTGCCCTTGGCTTTCATGCAATGAGGGTGCTTTTTCCTTAAGATTACTACTCTTAAACAACTGTGAGGAAAGGAACGGAAAAGACAAGAGAGAAGATAGAAAAAGAGAGAGAAGGATGGAGGAAGGGAATGAGGACGGAAGAAAAATTTGGTAAACACTCAGTAAGAGATTGTCTTTGCATCTGGGAGGGAATGGTCTGGGTCTAAGGCAGTGGGATTCCTTTTCTGGCTATTTCCAGACAGCCTCCTCTATTTACCCTAATGTGCTAAAGAATGTAATTTCATATGTGTGTCTTGATGTGACCCTAGAATCTTAATTGGTGGTGGTAATTTTTTCCAATTTTTGGAGATGTGGGGCCACTTGGTCATTCACCCCTCCTTTCCTAGATTCCTAACATATTAATAAATAGTCTTTATTAGCCAAATAAAGGAGAGTTCTCAACATTACTGTAAAATAGATAGATAATGTAACACAAAAAACCTTGGCAAATTCTATCCAGCATGCATTTGAGACCTATTGCTAAATTTCCTTAGATTGATGGATGTCACCGTGGAAAGGAAAAAATAAGGAGCCGAAGGAAGGAGCTGGAAATGTGCATCCAAATAATCATCCCTTAGAATCGGAAGTCTCTTTCTCTCTCTAGAAACACAAATGGAAGAGAACAAGCATTTCTTCTAACAAATTTACATAATACAGCAACTAAACCTGGATCTAAATCCAGGAACTTGAGGTATTAGGACTTTACTAGTTGTATTACTAATTCCAGCACACAACAACTTCTCTGGGCCTCAAATGCAACCTCTATCATGTACAAATCAAAATATCTTACCTTTTAGAAACCACTGTAACATATCACCACCAGCAATTCCTTCCCTTCTAAGATCGGAGATACCGTAAAAAGTGACTCACACTCAGTTCTTGGGAGAACCATACACTCTGACTTCATTAGAAGAAATTAACTTATCTTAACATCTTTATTCGAAGAGATGGTAGAGTGGGAAGTGGGATGGTATTGTAACACCATACTCTGTTATTTTGTAACTCCCTATTTATAAATTGCACTGTAATTATTGCTTATGGAATTGAAACTGCTTTAAAGTCTTGTGGGGGGGTGATGTGTGGAAATTATGAGTTTTTCTATTGAAGAAGAAGTGTATTCATGGAAAGAACAACATCACAAAATAGTAGAAATGACACCCTGGGAGCCAATTAAAAACAAACAAACAAACAATAATCTTGGGTTATAAATTAAACTATTACTAATCTTTTAGTCTAGATCTGCTAATTATCTTGAAACAATGTGATAATTGTGTTATTATTTTAAAAAATGTATCCCAGGGAAATTATACTAATGTAAAATAAATTTGATTTTTTAGAAGTTTACTTTATTAGAGATTAATATAATATATGCAGCATAACACCTTAAATATACTTACAGACATATAAGAATGACATAATCAGTTATTCCTAATTATTTTGATGTATTTTATACTCATTTAGGTGAGTAAATTAAATTATGAAAAGATGTAAAAGATAATTTGTATAATGAATGCTGAAAGCACTGTAGTTTTGACACAGAATTATTAATGAAATTATTTGTCTTGGGAGTTAATTGCAATATACATCAGTGTTAATAATTTATTTTACCTCTATTCACTCCAAATAATTACATTTGTATCATAAAAGAAACTATCTTAAATTTAATGGCGCTATAAAATCATAATTAATAGTAGCATAAAATTAATTTGTAATTTTTCAAAAATATTCACCAGAAACATAGATATTATCTGCAGTAACATAGAATTTTCTGTTTACACAGCACTTTTGCTTAATTGGGTGTGCAAAATTGTCATTTATAAGTAACACAGCATTCATCTTATGATCCACAAATTTAAAGAAATTATTTTCTAATGTATATTTTTTGGCAGTAGCAGAGTAGAGAGTCATGCATATAATGAAATTTTGACCCTAATAAATTGTGCTGTGGAACAAATAATATATGTAAAGTATATAGTGAAATTCTTAGAACAAAGTCGCTGTTCAAAACCTATGATTTTGCCATTGCTGATTCAAACAGGAAAAGATCAATGTTGAACTACTAGCAAAAGCTTCAAGGCAGAGATGGTTGTTTGAATTCATTCTATCATCCATGTAATCACCAAAATTTTATTGATCATCTATTGTATGCCAGACATTTCCCTATGTAATGGAGGGGACATGGTGAGAGACACTATACTTGCCTATAGTTTAAAATGGGAAATCCAATATTGGCACTTGCTCTCTGGAGACTGTAGCTATTCAGGGAATATGTTTTATAATCCTTGGTCAAGAGTGCTGGAGAGCACTCCACTTTTCCTCTTCCATGACTAGAGAACATGTCAACTATGGTGTTCTTTACACTGCACTTAGATAGATTCCAGAATATGTCTTAACATAGGATTTCAGGCAGCCATTACTAATGAAATAATCAGTATTTTAGCTGAAATATTGTTGCTATTTATTGAGGAGATAGAAGAAACTCCTCAATAAGTTAGTGATTAGAAGAGTTTACCAAAGCTTCCTTCTAAGTGAATTCAATTATCTCTCCCATCCATTTAAAGCTTGTTAGTCATGCCCTTGCTATTTTCTGTCTTGCTAGAATAAAAGAAAGCTTTTAGTCTCTTCTCATATGGAAGCATTTCTATATCATTGATTATTTTTTAAAATTTCAAAAATTATTTGAAACTTTTACCTCTTCAGTCTTGCTTGTGCTATAAAACTTGATATCTTCACCTTTCTCTAATATGTATTTTTCTTAGCTGCCTCTGTAGGTAAAAATAACATTTCATTGCTTGTTTCTTAGGTACTTCCCTGTGATATCCAGTTCCACTATTCTTTAACAACGTGCTGTAAACTTTTAATACCAAAAAGATTTCCTTGGCATAGGTGAATCTAAGTTCAATGTCTTGGCACAGATATTAACCTAAATTCAATGTCTCACACCAGTCCAAAATGACTGGTATTATTACTGTTAGGGATTTTTCAGCTCACATTAAGATTATTGAAATCCTAAATGTCCTAGAAAAGAAATGAGCAATTGACATTCTAACTCATGTGTTGCAACCATTAACTCTGTGACCTTGGGCATTTGTTCTCTCTCTTTTTCTTTTTCATTGAGAAAAAATTTATATATAGTAGAAAGAATGAATCTTAAGTTTACATTCTATAAGTTTTGACAAATAAATACGTCAATGTAACAATCACACAAACATAAATATAGAATATTACCATCGCCCCACAATGTTCCCTCATGCCCCTTTTCAGTCAGTTGTCTTTAGAAACAATAGCTGATATGTTGTCTGTTACTGTGGATTATCTTTGCCTGTTTTGGACTTGATATAAAAGAATTATGCAGTATATTTTTGAGAATGATCTATGTTGTCGTGTGCATCATTTTTATTATATTACACTGTATTTATATACCAAAATTTGTTTATTCCCTCATTGTTGATGAACGTTTGGGTTGTTTCCAGTGTTTGACTATTATGCATAAAGCTTCTGTAAATATTATTTATAATTGAAGACATATGTTTTAATTTTTCCTAAATAGACAACTAATAATGGAATTTCTGGATTATAGGGTACATATATCTTTGAAATCAATGGAAACTGTCTAGTACTCCTGCAAAATGGTTTTACCATTTCACACTTCTACCGGCAACGTACTTCTAGTTTTTTCACATTCTTGTCAATACTTGCTTGTTATTGTGAGAGATTTTTAAAATTATTATTATTTTTTATTATACTTTAAGTTCTGGGATACATGTGCAGAACATGCAGGTTTGTTACATAGGCATACACGTGCCATGGTGGTTTGCTGCGCCTATCAATCCGTCATCTACATTAGGTATTTCTCCTAATGCTATCCCTCCCCTAGCCGCCACCGCTGGCAGGCCCCACTGTGTGATGTTCCCCTCCCTGTGTCTGTGTGTTCTCATAGTTCAACTCCCACTTATGAGTGAGATCATGTAGTGTTTATTTTTCTGTTCATTCTCAGCAAACTAACACAGGAACAGAGAGAGATCTTAATTTTAGCTATGCCAGTGAGTGTGTGGTGGCTTTACTTTGCTTTTCTATGATATGTAAGGAAGGTGAGAATTTTTTCATATGATCATTGACCATTTTTATCCTTCCTATATAAATTGTTGCTTAAAGAATTTTGCATATATATAGTACATCTATCTATCTTTTTTTTTTTTTTTTTTTTTTTTAGTTAGAGTCTCACTGACACCCCGGCTGGAGTGCAGTGGCACAGTGGCCTGATCATGGCTCCCTGCAGCCTCCACCTCCTGGACTCAAGCAATCCCCCAACCTCAGCCTCCTAATGTGCTGGGATATTACAGGCATGAGACACCATGCCTGACCCAAATTTTTTCTACTACTTATCTTTTCATTAGGGATCTGTAGAAGTTCTATATATTTTATGGATAGGAATTCTTTCAGATAAATATATGAAAAATGTTATCTCCTTGTGTCTTGTGTGTGTGTGTGTATATATATATATATTATATATTATATATATTCTAAGTGTCTTTTGATTAGCAGAACATTTTTTATTTGGGCAAAGTCCAATTTTCAATTCTGAATTTTATTGTCAAAGTTTTTGTATTCTTTCTGAAAAATTATTGCCTCTGGAATATATTCTCTTTTGCTTTCTTAAATAAAACTTACAGGCGGCCAGGCGCGGTGGCTCATGCCTGTAATCCCAGCACTTTGGGAGGCCGAGGCGGGCGGATCACGAGGTCAGGAGATCTAGACCATCTTGGCTAACACGGTGAAACCCCGTCTCTACTAAAAATACAAAAAATAAGCTGGGCGCAGTGGCGGGCGCCTGTAGTCCCAGCTACTTGGGAGGCTGAGGCAGGAGAATGGCATGAACCCTGGAGGTGGAGCTTGCAGTGAGCCGATAGTGCCACTGCACTCTTGCCTGGGCAAAAGAGTGAGACTCTGTCTCAAAAAAAAAAAAAAAAACTTATAGGCATAATATATAGTTATATATTTTAATGTATTAGGTGGGATTGAAAATTTATATATTATATAGGTATTCAATTACTCAGCATAATTTGTCAGAGAAAAAAAGTATATTTTTTCACCCAGAATTATATGGATGTATTTGTTGAAAATTAATTAACTTTATATATGTGGATCTATTTCTGAACTCTAGATTTTATTCCAATAATTATCTGTGGTCACACAAATACTCCACTGTCTTTGTGGTTTTTTTTGTTTTGTTTTGTTTTTGTTTTTTGTTTTTTTTTTTTGATAGAATCTCTCTCACTCTGTTGCCCAGGCCGGAGTGCAATGGTGCTATCTTGGCTCACTGCAACCTCCACCTCCTGGGTTCAAGTGATTCTCTAGTCTTAGCCTCCTGAGTAACTGGGACTACAGGCGCCCGCCACCACACCCGGCTAATTTTTGTATTTTTATTAGAAACAGGGTTTCAGCATATTGGCCAGGCTGGTCTCGAACTCCTGACCTCGTGATCCTCCCGCCTCGGCCTCCCAAAGTGCTGGGATTACAGGCGTGAGCCACTGCACCCGGCCCCACTGTCTTAATTACATATTTTATAACATGTATTAAAGAAGTGTAAGTAATTCAAATTTGTGCTTCTGGTTCAAGATTGTGTTGCATACAGTAGATACTATGCATTCCTATACAAATTTTAGATGCAGTTAGTCAATTTTTTAAAAGGCTACTGGATATTGATTGGGGTTGCAAAGTGTGTAGACACAATTAGAGAGTATCAGCATCTCTTAACAGTATTTCCTTTTTCAATCTTTCCATTTATGCAGGTCTTCTTTAATTTCTATCAGCAAAGTGTAAAGCTTTCAGTGTAAAATTTTTGCATGTTTTGATTAATTTACTCTTAGAATTTTAGGTTTTATCATGCTTTCATAAATATGCTGTTTTTAAAATTTCTTTTCTGTGATGGTTAATATTGTCAACTTGATTGGATTGAAGGATCCAAACTATTGTTCCTGGGTGTGTTTGTGAGGATGTTGCTAAAAGAGATTAACATTTGAGGCAATGGACTGGGAGAGGCAGACCTACCGTCGATCTGGGTGGGCACCATCTAATCAGCTGCCAGCGTGGCTAGGATAAAACCAGGCAGAGAAACATGGAAGGATTACATTGGCTGAGGTTTCCAGCCTTCATCTTTCTCTCGTGCTGGATGCTTTCTGCCTTGGAACATCAGATTCCAAGTTCTTCAGCTTTTGAACTCTTGGTTCATACCAGTAGTTTGCCGGGGCAGCTCAGGCCTTCCGCCACACACTGAAGGCTGCACTGTTGGGTTCACTACTTTTGAGGTTTTGGGACTCAAACTGGCTTCCTTGCTCCTCAGCTCGCAGATGGCCTATTATGGGACTTCGCCTTGTGATCGTGTGTATCAATACTCCTTAATAAACTCCCTTTCATATATACATCTATCCTATTAGTCCTGTCCCTCTAGAGAATTCTAATATATTTTCTAATTGTTTTTTACTAGAATATTGAAATACTGTTGATTATTTTATATTGACCTTGTATCCTGCTACTTTAAAAAATCTAATTATTAATCTGTAGATTATTTTAAATGTTAGTTACACAATGTGTCAACAAATGTCCATTTTCTTTTTGTTCTCTAATTTTTATGCTATTCTTTCTTGTCTTACTCCCATGATGCTAATCCAGAATAATGTTGAAGAGAAAACGTGAAAGTGGCATCCTTACTTTGCTCCTAATTGTAGAAATGTTAACACTTCTCCATTAAGTATGATGTTAGCTGTAGCTTCATTTTATAAATATCTAATTTTAGATTTTAATATATCTCTTAATTTCTACTTGTTACAAGTTTCAAGATTATTGAATTTTATCAAAGGAGTTTTTTGTTTATTAAGATAATTATGTGATTTTTCTTCTTTATTCTTATGTAACAAATTACAATAATTGATTTCAAAGATATGTCAATTTTGTGTTCCAATAACTTAATCCTGGTATATTATCATTTTTTATATATTGTTGTGTTTGTTAAGATTTCAATGACGTGTCTGCATTTGTGTTAGTAAGGAATACTGTCTAAATTTTTCTTTTCTTATAATGTTTATTGTCAGATTTTCACATCTGATTTATACTGACACCATTTTAAAAAATTGATACACATTTCCTCATTTATTTTTAAAAGAATTAATGTAAATTGGTATTATTTCTTAAATATTTGATATGATTCATCAGTGAAACCATCTGGCCCTGGAGTTTTCTTTGTGAGAAGTTGTCTAGTTATTAGTTCTTTTTGTATTCATTTTAGTGAGTTAGGGAGATTGTCCTTGTCATATGAATTATTGAATTTATTAGGCTAAAGTTTTTAATGTTATCCCTCCATTATCCTTTTCGTTTCTGTAACCTATATAGTGATGTTTCCTATTTCTTTCTAGATATTTGTGTTCCTTCCTTCTATTTTCTTGAAAAGTGTTGATATTGATCCTGTCAATTTTTAATTTAAAAAAACTTTTTCTTTTGTTAATTATTTTCTATTGTTTTTTTCTTGACTTAAATATTTTCTATTCTTGAAATATACAATACATTGTTATAAGCTATAGTCACCCTACTGTCTAATAGAACACCAGAACTTACAATTCCTAACTGTAACTTTGTATTGGTTGACCAACATCTCCTAGTCCTCCCATCTTCCCTATCCTCCACAGCCTCTAATAACCACTGTTCTAGTCTCTACTTCTATAAAATCACAATTTTACATCCCACATGTGAGTGTGATCATGTGGTCTTTGACTTTCTGTGCTTTGCTTATTTCATATAATGTCCTCCAGGTACATATCTGCTACCAAAAAATGATAGGGTTTCACTCTTTTTTTATGAAGAATACTATTCACATTTTCTTTATTCATTTATCTGTAGTTGGACATTTAGGTGGAGCATTCTTCTTGGTTATTGTGAATAGCACAGCAATAAATAGGAGTTCAATTATCTCTTCAAAATACTAATTTCATTTCCTTTGGATATATGCCAAATAATGGGATTTGAATTAGATGGTAGTTCTATTTTTAGTTTTTTGAGGAACGTTCATACTCTTTTCTTTTCTTTCTGTCTTTTTTTTTTTTTTTTTTTTTTTTTTTAGACAGAGTCTCTTTCTGTTGCCCAGGCTGCAGTGCAGTGGCACGATCTCAGCTTACTGCAGCCTCCACTTCCTGGATTCAAGTGATTCTCTTGCCTCAGCCTCCCAAGCAGCTGGGATTACAGGCGCCCGACCCGACACCACGTCTGACTAATTTTTGTATTTTAGTAGAGAGACGGTTTCACCATGTTGGCCAGGCTGGCCTCCAACTCCTGACCTCTGGTGTTCTGCCCACCTTGGCCTCCCAAAGTGCCGGGATTACTGGTGTGAGCCACCGCACCCGGCCCATACTCTTTTGTATAACAGCTGTTTACATTCCCACCAAGATTGCATAAGAGTTCCTCTTTCTCCACATCCTTACAAGCATTTGTTATTTTTTGTATTTTTTATTGTAACCATTCCAACCAAGGTAAGGTCTCATTGTGATTTTTGATTTGCATTTCCCTGATGATTAGTGATATTGAAATGTTTTATTAAAAAATTTTAACTGATTGCTATTTGTATGTCTTCTTTGGACAAATGCCTATTCAAACCCTTTGTCCATGTTTATATTGGATTATTTGTATTTTCATTATTGAGTTGTTTGAGTCCCTTATATATTCTGGATATTAATCCCTTGTTAGATGAATCGTTTTCAAATATTTTCTTCCATTCTATAGATATCTGTTCACACTATTTCTTCCTTTACTGTGCAGAAGCTCTTAAGCTTGACATAATAATATATGTCTATTTTTGTTTTTGTTGCCTGTGCTTTTTTTTTTTTAAATCCTTGTTCAGTCCAATTTTATCAAGCATTTCCCCTATGTTTTACTCTAGTTGTTTCACAGTTTTGGTTTTGGGTTTTACATTTAAATCTTCAATCCATTTAGGATTTATATATACATATATATATATGTAGTGAGAGATATGGGTCTAATTTCTTTCTTCTGCAAATATATATCCAGTTTTCTCAGCACCATTTATTGAAGACACTGTTCTTTTCCCAGTGTGTGTTCTTGGTGTCTTTGTAAAAAATCAGTTGGCTTTAAATGCATAGATTTACTTATCAGTTCTCTATTCTGTTCCATTTGTCTATGTGTCTTTTTATGGCAGTACCATCTTATTCTTATTTATGTTTGCTTTACTCTTGTCGTTTGGGTTTAATTGCTCATCTTTTTTAAAATCTCCTTGAGTTATTATCTTATTTCAAAACTTTCATGTTTTCTAATGTATAAATGTGAGACCATAAATATTTCCCTCTCAATTTTTAAATTTTCTATATATTATCATGTCAAAATATTTTCTAATTTCTTTTCTTTTCTTTCTTTCTTTTCTTTTCTTTCTTTTTTTTGAGACAGGATGTCACTCTGTCATCCAGGCTGGAGTGCAGTGGCTGGATCATGGCTCACTGCAGCCTCACACACTTGGGCTCAAGTGATCCTCCTGCCTCAGTCTCCTAAGTAGCTAGGAATACAGAGGCATGCCACTATACTTGGCTAAT
The DNA here is from genome assembly GCF_000001405.40 of Homo sapiens. NCBI lineage: Eukaryota > Metazoa > Chordata > Mammalia > Primates > Hominidae > Homo > Homo sapiens. Next base: position 161,618,061 of record NC_000005.10, on the reverse strand, counting down.
TTTTTAAATTTGTGTGTGTGTGTGTGTGTGTGTGTGTGTGTGTGTGTGTGTGTGTGTCTTTGTGTGTGGAGTGGGGTCTCACTATGTTGCTTGGGTTAGTCTCGAACTCGTGGCCTCAAGAGATCCTTCCACCTCAGTCTCCCAAAGACTGGGATTACAGGGGTGAGCCACCACACCTGGACTATTCTAATGTCTTTCATGATTTCTTCTTCAGTCCACTGACTATAAGTGTGTTGCTTGATTTCAAATATTTGAAAAGTTCTAATTTTATTTTTGTCATGTATTTTTAATTTTATTATGAGCCAAGAACACATACTGTTTATTTTTAATCTTGAATCAATTAGTACTTGATTTACAGCTTATGGTCTATTTTTTAGTAAATGTTTTATACATACCTAAGATGAATATGTATTCTGAAGGTGTTCCAGGTGGTATGTTGTAAATGTCAATTTCATCACATTGGTTACTACTGTTGCCCAATTTTTATATATCCTTACTGATTTCTGTCTTTGTGTTCTATTAATTTTTGAAAAAAAATCATTTATATTTGTAAAATATCCTTATTTACCTCTGATAATACTCACTTTCCTGAAATCTACTTTGTTTGCTATTAATATGGGTTTCTTATGATATGTGGTTGCTTTGCCTATCTTTTCCCAATCTATCATTTTCAACCTGGCCATGTCTTCATACATGCTTGTAGTATGATTCATCACTAAAACTAGTCTGACAATATGTTTCTTTTAATTGGAGAGTTTAGTCCATATATATCAAATAACATTATAGTTATGTTGAGTTTAAGTCCGACATCTGGCTATGTGTTTCCTAAAAGTTCTGCCTGATACTTTGCTCCATTCTTCCTTCTTTTTTTGTCCTAGTTGAGTACTTCATATTAGTTCATCTGATCTCCCCTTGTAATCTATTAGCTATATTTCTTTGTTTTATTTATCAGTGGTTGCTACTCAAGTTAATATTATACCTTAACATGTATAATTTTATTTGCCAAATCTGCTAATATTTTACTTCTGTGAATATCAGTATTTATTGCCCTAAACAGTTAGACATTTTTAAATAAGAAAAATATAACCTATTTTATATACCCACATATTTACTATTTCCAATTGTCTTAATCTTTTCTTCACTTTTTCATGACAGATTATTTTAGTTTTTATTTCCTCCATCCAAAAGAATTTATTCTTCTTCTATTAAAGACATTTGGAAAATACTAGGTTCATAGCTCCTTTCACTACCACCCCCAGTACTTAGAAGATATATTTTTATTTCATGGCTTTCTTTTTTTTCTGATAATAAGTGAGTTATCATCCTTACTGTTGTTAAATCCTTATTATTGTCCATTATATTCGACTGCTTTTATCATTTTTGTTCTTTATTTTTGTTTTTTATAGTCTGATATAATGCCTACAGGTGTGTTTTTCTTTTTTGCTTTTGTTTTTGCTTAGAGTTTTGTGGATTCTAGGTCTATGGCTAAATACATTGTGTCATTTTTAGAAATATTTTCACTATTATATCTTCAAATACTTATTTTCTTCTCTATTCACTCCTCTGCTTGATAATTACATATTATCATTTGGTATTATAATACAGGCCCTTTTTTGAGATGGGATCTTGCTATATTGCCCAGGCTGATCTTGTACTGGGCTCAAGTGATCCTCTCACCTCAGCCTCCAAAAGTGCTGAGATTACAGATGTGAGCCACTGCACCTGGCCATGATACAAGACTTACAGGCTCTATTATGACTTTTCATTTTCATATATTCTGTGTTTCAGTTCAAATAATTTCTAGTGATGTGTCCTTGTAACTGTTTGCCAACTTAAATTAACCAAAAGGGTCAGAATCGAATTTAAAAAGCTTATTCTAGCACAAAGTGTGAGAATGGACCACCTGGAAACTCCAACTGCAGAGCAATGGAGTCAGCATTCCGAAGCAGAGAAGTTAGTGTTTCATTCTATAGGCAGAGACAAAGGAGTTTTTTGGAAGATTACAACATTATTCACACAAGTTTGGCACATAGTTACGGCATTTTGACTGGTTATAGTCAGTGCTTCTTTTTAGGAAATGAACATTTAACATGTTTTACACAAGATGTAATAAACATGGGTTTTCTGTCATCTTGTCTAATCAAAGCAGGACAACAAGAAGTTAATCTATAATAAGGGTCATTAATTAGAAAAGCAGGATTTTTTTGTTCCTTACATCATTTAATTCTCTCCAGTCATTGTAAAGAATTAAAAAAAAAAGAAAGCGATTTAATCTATAATCTAAGAACAGAAGTTGTAACCATACGTGACTTGGATTACAGTCACATCTTTCTCAAGGCTTAAAGTGTTTGGGGGGTTCTAGCATCTTTGATATTTTATTTGTTTTCACATGTTGATTCATTTTTCTGCTATGTCTAGTCCGTCCAAAGATCTTTTATACTGTAGATGATATATTATTCTCTTGTAATAATTCCATGTGGTTCCTTTTTAGATTTTTCCATCTCTGCTTTGGCTCTCCATCTGTTTACCTATTTTCATCATGTTTTCCTGATTCCTCTCATATATGTATAAAACCCATTTTAATGTATATTAAGCCTGCTTTAATGAATTTTATTGCTAATTCCAGTATCTGGGTCATCTGTAGGTCTGTTTCTGTTTTTTCTTTTTAATTTTGTGTTCAATTTTCCTCTTTATTGCTACACATTTTAAATTTTAGCTGCACACCGGACATTATGCATACCATGTTGTAGAAAATCTGAATTATGTCATCATTTCTAAAAAAAAGTGTTTTGTTTCAGTAGGGAATTAGAAAATGGGAAGTTTGATTTATCTTATTTAAGCTCTGTTCTAAGTGGGGCTGTTAAGAATACTGGTTTTGCTCTTAGAACTAGGATGTAGCCGTTTATCTTTACTTGTAAGACATGGTTCTTCTGGGATTTCCATGAAAATCCCAAGGTGTTTACTGAACCCCTCTAACTTGTTAAGACTTGAACCCCAAATGTTTCTCAAACATAGAGCTGCTTTAATTTCTGCCCAAGTCTTTATTCTCCCAGATGCAGCCTGCTTCTGTGTTTTTGTAGGCCTTGCACCTAGAAGGTTCCAAGGTATATTAGAGGTTCCTTTGGAGAAAAGCTATTGAATTCCAAAACTCTCAGAATTTTTTAAAATCCTTTTTTTAAAAAGGATTGTTTCTCTTCTAGTTTCCAGTGCTTTAGACAATTGTTTTATAGCAGTATTTTAATAATTGCTTATTATTGTTATTAGCAGAATAATTAGTATAAATCAAGTTACTCTACCTTTATTGAAACTAGTTTTTGAGTATTAATCTTAAAATTTGCTTACATTAATAAAGCACTTTCTGTAAGAAACAGCTACTATGTTTTGCATGCATTGTTAATTACCAAAAAACGTTTTGTAAGATACTTACTATTATTATTCCTGTTTTTCAGATGAGAAAACTGAACCATAGAGAATGAGGGTTCCTTCCCCAAAGCACATAACTGAAAGAACTGCCCGGGGAGTTTCAGTTCTAGAGTTTAAAGATAGGCAATGTGGCCTGTGGTCTTTATACATTGCATTTATTCCTTGCTACCAAAAGGTGATTAAAATGTATCTATATTATTATTTCCATGGCTCAAACACACACTTTTTCTAAGATGTTAAGTAAGATATTTTCTTTGGCTCTGTAGAAGGACCACACAACTAAATTTTGTAATGCTTGAGTATGATGTCTGTCTCATGACTCCTTCATATTTAGTAACTTATTAGACTGTTGCAATCTCTCAAATATACATCCAATACCATTTGAATTGTGCATTTCCACAAATCATATTAACTCAAAGTAGCTATAACTGAATTTACCCATGAATTAGTATTTTCAAATAACTTTATACTAAAGGTCACTTTTCAACTGAGGTGAATAGAAAATATGTATTGGAATGACTTACCTTCATTTTCATCAGAGTTCTGACATCTCTGCATTATTTCTTTGATAATAATTTTTATATCTGAAAATAGATATGGTTGAAGTCTTTCTCTGTATATATAAAACATGAGAGCATAGAAGTAAAGTGACATTGCCTAATGTCACACAGCTCTTTAGGGACAGATTTAGAACTCAGGTAATAAATTTACCTCTTTTTGAAACTTTAAAATTTCTTACATTTAAAAGAAAGTATAACAAAGATTATTTATTAGTAAAATAGCATAAATCTCTTGCCCATGTCTATATAACCTCTGAAATAGTGTTGATTAACTCATTGGGTTTCCATAAAATGGCTGTTTTGGATTGAATTTATATTAAATATCATCACAGCATTCAATTTTCTCTTGGTACACTGGCTCCCTAAAAATTCTTAATAACTGCTTTTATTTATTATGAAATTTTACATCCTTTCAATTGCTCAAGTCAATCATATATTTTCTTTATCAACTATTTCAGGGACATGCATAGCCAAATCTAATCATGTATAAGTGAACAGTAAAAACCTTTTAGTGCTATATTCTAGAAAACTGGGAGAAAATCACCCAAAATCTCCAGACGTCGCTTCAGGAGAGCCATGTATCTTTAAATAAGCTATATCACCTGGATGTGAGCCAAACCCAACATGTTCTTCACATGTGTTCATAACTTGTTAGGTGCACTATAGTTTATATTTCATCCTAATAGTATTATAAGCATACATTCTCATTCTCAAAGTTGGTGGTAATATCATCATAAGGTTATGCTATCATCATAATACTAACAGCCATCATAAGATCTGCTCCTCAACTTTAGAGTACAAATTCATTGTTATTTTTACTTGTATGCAATGGAAATAATTTGGCCCAGAGAGGTGAAGTGATTTTCTCAAAGTTAAACAGATTGCGAGTGAGGATAAAAATTGAAATCTTATTCATCTTCCATACAAGGGGCAAGTTTCCTATGGGATGTGTGTCTTCCTCCATATGTGTATGTCAGTGTGTAATCAAGACTTTATAAGTTATACTGAGATGATGGAAAGTCCCAGAGGCTTATCCAGAGCATTATCTATTGGTGACAGTTATGACCAGGCAAGAGGGGACATAAACACAAACATTTTCTTGTCAAAAACGTGTGGGAGAAACTGTAGTAAACAAAGTCAAGCAGGGTGTTTTTTAGTGCCGGCATTATCTGAAATTGTCATATGCTAATATGCACGTACGTTTCTAAAAGGGAGATAGAGATGTTTCCCAACATTATTTGACAAGAGGATTTTTTTCTCCAAAGAGCATCTATTACAGTAAATATATTAAAGAATACATTTAGAACAAAATCTTTTTTATAGGTTTAGCCTCTCATACAATTCCCAGGATACTGTGGCCACTTGATACAATTCTGCAGAAAGAATAAATGGTAATTAAAATTGCATGTACATTCATAATAATTTACATCTAAGGTCCATCCATTATCAAATCCTGGTTCAGAAAGTGTCACCATCTTGTGGTGATAAGGAGATAGTTTATCTTTATGACAGTGACCTCAGTGGATGGAGATATATTTAAAAGACTTTTAGCTTCACTCTATATACTGATGAGGCATCATCACTCTTCATCTCATTTAACTATTGTCTTTTAAAGTGACTGCTTTCTAAAAGATTAATAGAACCCATTATTGTATGTGAAATTTTAACTGGGTTTAAACAGCTACAGAAACACTATCACCGGGGAAAATTGCCATGTTATTTTCAGAGACAGAAGTTTGTGAATTGACAGCACTTTAAGTCTCTTTCAACTAGAAAGTGAATTTAAAATAAATAAATAATAAATAAATAGGCTAGCCAATTTTTATTTACCTGGAAGCACTGATTTTATTTGCCAATGGAATAAGATATTATATTAAAATATATTAGAAAAGAAAACACAAATAGTAGCAATCATGGCTTCTAAGTTTATGCATAAGAGGAAAAATTCATTCAGATTGTTGAATGAAATAAATTTTCTAAAAAAACTATCTGCAGGGGGAGGAGCCAAGATGGCCGAATAGGAACAGCTCTGGTCTACAGCTGCCAGCGTGAGGGACGCAGAAGACGGGTGATTTCTGCAATTCCAGCTGAGGTACCGGGTTCATCTCACTAGGGAGTGCCAGACAGTGGGCGCAGGTCAGTGGGTGCGCGCACTGTGCGTGAGCCAAAGCAGGGCGAGGCATTGCCTCACTTGGGAAGCGCAAGGGGTCAGGGAGTTCCCTTTCTGAGTCAAAGAAAGGGGTGACCGACGGCACCTGGAAAATCGGGTCACTCCCACCCAAATACTATGCTTTTCCGACTGGCTTAAAAAACGGCGCACCATGAGATTATATCCCGCACCTGGCTCGGAGGATCCTACGCCCACGGAGTCTCGCTGATTGCTAGCACAGCAGTCTGAGATCAAACTGCAAGGCGGCAGCAAGGCTGGGGGAGGGGCGCCCGCCATTGCCCAGGCTTGATTAGGTAAACAAAGCAGCCAGGAAGCTCGAACTGGGTGGAGCCCACCACAGCTCAAGGAGGCCTGCTTGCCTCTGTAGGCTCCACCTCTGGGGGCAGGGCACAGACAAACAAAAAGACAGCAGTAACCTCTGCAGACTTAAATGTCCCTGTCTGACAGCTTTGAAGAGAGCAGTGGTTCTCCCAGCACGCAGCTGGAGATCTGAGAACGGGCAGACTGCCTCGTCAAGTGGGTCCCTGACCCCTGACCCCTGAGCAGCCTAACTCGGAGGCACCCCCCAGCAGGGGCACACTGACACCTCACATGGCAGGGTATTCCAACAGACCTGCAGCTGAGGGTACTCTCTGTTAGAAGGAAAACTAACAAACAGAAAGGACATCCACACCAAAAACCCATCTCTACATCACCATCATCAAAGACCAAAGGTAGATAAAACCACAAAGATGGGGAGAAAACAGAACAGAAAAACTGGAAACTCTAAAAAGCAGAGCGCCTCTCCTCCTCCAAAGGAACGCAGTTCCTCACCAGCAATGGAACAAAGCTGGATGGAGAATGACTTTGACGAGCTGAGAGAAGAAGGCATCAGACGATCAAATTACTCTGAGCTATGGGAGGACATTCAAACCAAAGGCAAAGAAGTTGAAAACTTTGAAAAAAATTTAGAAGAATGTATAACTAGAATAACTAATACAGAGAAGTGCTTAAAGGAGCTGATGGAGCTGAAAACCAAGGCTCGAGAACTACGTGAAGAATGCAGAAGCCTCAGGAGCCAATGAGATCAACTGGAAGAAAGGGTATCAGCAATGGTAGATGAAATGAATGAAATGAAGTGAGAAGGGAAGTTTAGAGAAAAAAGAATAAAAAGAAATGAGCAAAGCCTCCAAGAAATATGGGACTATGTGAAAAGACCAAATCTACGTCTGATTGGTGTACCTGAAAGTGACGGGGAGAATGGAACCAAGCTGGAAAACACTCTGCAGGATATTATCCAGGAGAACTTCCCCAATCTAGCAAGGCAGGCCAACGTTCAGATTCAGGAAATACAGAGAATGCCACAAAGATACTCCTCGAGAAGAGCAACTCCAAGACACATAATTGTCAGATTCACCAAAGTTGAAATGAAGGAAAAAATGTTAAGGGCAGCCAGAGAGAAAGGTCGGGTTACCCTCAAAGGGAAGCCCATCACACTAACAGCGGATCTCTTGGCAGAAACCCTACAAGCCAGAAGAGAGTGGGGGCCAATATTCAACATTCTTAAAGAAAAGAATTTTCAACCCAGAATTTCATATCCAGCCAAACTAAGCTTCAAAAGTGAAGGAGAAATAAAATACTTTACAGACAAGCAAATGCTGAGAGATTTTGTCACCACCAGGCCTGCCTTACAAGAGCTCCTGAAGGAAGCACTAAACATGGAAAGGAACAACCGGTACCAGCCGCTGCAAAATCATGCCAAAATGTAAAGACCATCGAGACTAGGAAGAAACTGCATCAACTAACGAGCAAAATCACCAGCTAACATCATAATGACAGGATCAAATTCACACATAACAATATTAACTTTAAATGTCAATCGACTAAATGCTCCAATTAAAAGACACAGACTGGCAAATTGGATAAAGAGTCAAGACCCATCAGTGTGCTGTATTCAGGAAACCCATCTCATGTGCAGAGACACACATAGGCTCAAAATAAAAGGATGGAGGAAGATCTACCAAGCAAATGGAAAACAAAAAAAGGCAGGGGTTGCAATCCTAGTCTCTGATAAAACAGACTTTAAACCAACAAAGATCAAAAGAGACAAAGAAGGCCATTACATAATGGTAAAGGGATCAATTCAACAAGAAGAGCTAACTATCCTAAATATATATGCACCCAATACAGGAGCACCAAGATTCATAAAGCAAGTCCTGAGTGACCTACAAAGAGACTTAGACTCCCACACATTAATAATGGGAGACTTTAACACCCCACTGTCAACATTAGACAGATCAACGAGACAGAAAGTCAACAAAGATACCCAGGAATTGAACTCAGCTCTGCACCAAGCAGACCTAATAGACATGTACAGAACTCTCCACCCCAAATCAACAGAATATACATTTTTTTCAGCACCACACCACACCTATTCCAAAATTGACCACCTGCTTGGAAGTAAAGCTCTCCTCAGCAAATGTAAAAGAACAGAAATTATAACAAACTATCTCTCAGACCACAGTGCAATCAAACTAGAACTCAGGATTAAGAATCTCACTCAAAACCGCTCAACTACGTGGAAACTAAACAACCTGCTCCTGAATGACTACTGGGTACATAACGAAATGAAGGCAGAAATAAAGTTGTTCTTTGAAACCAACGAGAACAAAGACACAACATACCAGAATCTCTGGGACGCATTCAAAGCAGTGTGTAGAGGGAAATTTATAGCACTAAATGCCCACAAGAGAAAGCAGGAACGATCTAAAATTGACACCCTAACATCACAATTAAAAGAACTATAAAAGCAAGAGCAAACACATTCAAAAGCTACCAGAAGGCAAGAAATAACTAAAATCAGAGCAGAACTGAAGGAAATAGAGACACAAAAAACCCTTCAAAAAATTAATGAATCCAGGAGCTGGTTTTTTGAAAGGATCAACAAAATTGATAGACCGCTAGCAAGACTAATAAAGAAAAAAAGAGAGATGAATCAAATAGACGCAATAAAAAATGATAAAGGGGATATCACCACCGATCCCACAGAAATACAAACTACCATCAGAGAATACTACAAACACGTCTATGCAAATAAACTAGAAAATCTAGAAGAAATAGATAAATCCCTGGACACATACACTCTCCCAAGACTAAACCAGGAAGAAGTTGAATCTCTGAATAGACCAATAACAGGAGCTGAAATTGTGGCAATAATCAATAGCTTACCAACCAAAAAAAGTCCAGGACCAGATGGATTCACAGCCGAATTCTACCAGAGGTACAAGGAGGAACTGGTACCATTCCTTCCGAAACTATTCCAATCAATAGAAAAAGAGGGAATCCTCCCTAACTCATTTTATGAGGCCAGCATCATTCTGATACCAAAGCCTGGCAGAGACACAACCAAAAAAGAGAATTTTAGACCAATATCCTTGATGAACATTGGTGCAAAAATCCTAAATAAAATACTGGCAAAACGAATCCAGCAGCACATCAAAAAGCTTATCCACCATGATCAAGTGGGCTTCATCCCTGGGATGCAAGGCTGGTTCAATATACTCAAATCAATAAATGTAATCCAGCATATAAACAGAACCAAAGACAAAAACCACATGATTATCTCAATAGATGCAGAAAAAGCCTTTGACAAAATTCAACAACCCTTCATGCTAAAAACTCTCAATAAATTAGGTATTGATGGGACTTATTTCAAAATAATAAGAGCTATCTATGACAAACCCACAGCCAATATCATACTGAATGGGCAAAAACTGGAAGCATTCCCTTTGAAAACTGGCACAAGACAGGGATGCCCTCTCTCACCACTTCTATTCAACATAGTGTTGGAAGTTCTGGCCAGGGAAATTAGGCAGGAGAAGGAAATAAAGGGTATTCAATTAGGAAAAGAGGAAGTCAAATTGTCCCTGTTTGCGGATGACATGATTGTATATCTAGAAAACCCCATTGTCTCAGCCCAAAATCTCCTTAAGCTGATAAGCAACTTCAGCAAAGTCTCAGGATACAAAATCAGTGTACAAAAATCACAAGCATTCTTATACACCAACAACAGACAAACAGAGAGCCAAATCACGAGTGAACTCCCATTCACAATTGCTTCAAAGAGAATAAAATACCTAGGAATCCAACTTACAAGGGATGTGAAGGACCTCTTCAAGGAGAACTACAAACCACTGCTCAAGGAAATAAAAGAGGATACAAACAAATGGAAGAACATTCCATGCTCATGGGTAGGAAGAATCAATATCGTGAAAATGGCCATACTGCCCAAGATAATTTACAGATTCAATGCCATCCCCATCAAGCTACCAATGACTTTCTTCACAGAATTGGAAAAAACTACTTTAAAGTTCATATGGAACCAAAAAAGAGCCCGCATCACCAAGTCAATCCTAAGCCAAAAGAACAAAGCTGGAGGCATCACACTACCTGACTTTAAACTATACTACAAGGCTACAGTAACCAAAACAGCATGGTACTGGTACCAAAACAGAGATATAGATCAATGGAACAGAACAGAGCCCTCAGAAATAACGCCACATATCTACAACTATCTGATCTTTGACAAACCTGAGAAAAACAAGCAAAGGGGAAAGGGTTCCCTATTTAATAAATGGTGCTGGGAAAACTGGCTAGCCATATGTAGAAAGCTGAAACTGGATCCCTTCCTTACACCTTATATAAAAATCAATTCAAGATGGATTAAAGACTTAAAGGTTAGACTTAAAACCATAAAAAACCCTAGAAGAAAACCTAGCCATTACCATTCAGGACATAGGCATGGGCAAGGACTTCATGTCTAAAACACCAAAAGCAATGGCAACAAAAGTCAAAATTGACAAATGGGATCTAATTAAACTAAAGAGCTTCTGCAGGGCAAAAGAAACTACCATCAGAATGAACAGGCAACCTACAAAATGGGAGAAAATTTTCGCAACCTACTCATCTGACAAAGGGCTAATATCCAGAATCTACAATGAACTCAAACAAATTTACAAGAACAAAACAAACAACCCCATCAAAAAGTGGGCAAAGGACATGAACAGACATTTCTCAAAAGAAGACATTTATGCAGCCAAAAAACACATGAAAAAATGCTCATCATCACTGGCCATCAGGGAAATGCAAATCAAAACCACAATGAGATACCATCTCACACCAGGTAGAATGGCAATCATTAAAAAGTCAGGAAACAACAGGTGCTGGAGAGGATGTGGAGAAATAGGAACACTTTTACACTGTTGGTGGGACTGTAAACTAGTTCAACCATTGTGAAAGTCAGTGTGGTGATTCCTCAGGGATCTAGAACTGGAAATACCATTTGACCCAGCCATCCCATTACTGGGTATATACCCAAAGGACTATAAATCATGCTGCTATAAAGACACATGCACACGTATGTTTATTGCGGCATTATTCACAATAGCAAAGACTTTTAACCAACCCAAATGTCCAACAATGATAGACTGGATTAAGAAAATGTGTCACATATACACCATGGAATACTATGCAGCCATAAAAAATGATGAGTTCATGTCCTTTGTAGGGACATGGATGAAATTGGAAATCATCATTCTCAGTAAACTATCGCAAGAACAAAAAACCGAACACCGCATATTCTCACTCATAGGTGGGAATTGAAAAATGAGATCACATGGACACAGGAAGGGGAATATCACACTCTGGGGACTGTTGTGGGGTGGGGGGAGGGGGGAGGGATAGCATCGGGAGATATACCTAATGCTAGATGACGAGTTAGTGGGTGCAGCGCACCAGCATGGCACATGTATACATATGTAACTAACCTGCACAATGTGCACATGTACCCTAAAACTTAAAGTATAATAATAAAAGAAAAAACTATCTGCAGTAAAGCATGGGGTTTGAAAGGGTGTTCTGCCACATTCAGCAGAGGACAATAAAGATGGACACAGGTTATGTGCTAGGAAGACTCTGATTACCTGATATACCAGCACACCATTGATGATTAATTTTAGTGTTTGTGTGTGTGTATGTGTGTGTGTGTGTCTGTGTGTGAATGTATGTGTGTGTGTAATTTTTGTATTTTAGTTTAGTTGCAGTCCTGTAAATGAGAGTCAAAACAAGCATTAGTTTGTCTGTTGGAATCTTTCAATTCAATGGCCACTGATACTGCAAAAAATCAAATATAAATATAGTCAAAGATACTGCAAAGAATATAAGATAAAGTTCCTTCTCTCAAGGAGCATGAAATCTAATGAGGGAGAACTACAAGTATAAAACAAATCATTATAATGAAAGGCAGAAAGTAGTAAGTCATTTTTAAACAAGAACAAACTACCGTGAAGTTTTCAAATAGGGAGAAATCACATTTTACCGTGCGAAAATCAGGGAAGGCACCACTGAGGTGGGTGGGTTTGGAAACTTGATCTAGTGAGAAAATTATATTATAAGGGATTTATTCAGGGTTTCACACAAGCATAAAGCAGGGTTCCTGACACTTATCAGATACTACTTCTTCTATGAAGTCTTTTCTGATTAGCATATAATAAGTCTCAGTGCACTTGAACACAGCATACAGTGTGTGAGTGAAAATATGAAAGGGAAGGTATGTTGGACTCAAAGTATCAATCTAAAGCCTGTTGAATGGTGATTTTATTAACTAGAGAAGTAGCATTGAAGTTTTAAAAATAAAAAATGACTTAAGGTTAATTTGTAAACATTGGTTGTGAAATTAGAGAGAAAATGAAGTAGGAGCAAAAAAAAAAATGTGCAATGATTCAAGGAAATGGCCCTCAACTTAGGTACAGTAATTATGAACTGAACAAAAAAGTGTACAAGAGTTATTTCAAAATGGAAAAGAAAAGAAAAAGCACTTAATAAGTATGGAGAAAGGGAGACAACTAAAACAATAAACCCTGTATCAAAATAAGCACTAGAAAAAAGAAAGCCAATGTGAGGAAAGCGGGTGATGTGTTAAGGTTTAGCAATAACCTTAACAAGTTGGCAAGACTTCCAGGTGCAGTGTTTGGAAAGGAGGATGGAAATGTGGACAAGAGTTATCCATGTAAAGCCGACAGTTAATAACTAACATGGTACCGGTCATCAGCAATAGGGCATGGGCTCTGGGCAATCAGAACATTTGCCGGCTGTAGGTAGCCAGTATAGTTGTATCAGTGAAGAATACAGGAAGTTCCACCTTGCATTGATGGCAGAGTAATTAAGTTCATCTTGTGAGAAAGGATACAGCAAAAATGGTTGAGAGAAGGCTGTGGAGAACATTTATATAAAAAGCCATTAAAAGTGGAGCCCAGCAAAAGTCCAGTTATTGGAAGAGGAGAAAAAACTCAATATACATACTTAATGCTTCTAGCTGCTATGTTTATACATAGTTGAAGAGATATCATAATTCACTGTCTCTCATTCTCTACTTGATTCATGCATGTCACTTGTCTGTAAACTATACAGGAAGAACTTGATGTAAGAGATACCTTGTCTTTTATTTGGCCATTCCCTGTAGTGTTTTAGGTAGGTCTTCATAAATGTGCAAGATTTAAATTTTGAATTAACAAATAAAATTTATAAATTACTTAAACATGTTATACAGTTTGTGTCACAATAACATGAGTTTGACTAAACAAATTCCATTTTACACAAGAAACTCAGAGAGTTTATGAATGTGCCAATATCTCTGACATTATTAGTGGAGGATTCAGGGCTTCATCCTGGGACAGCCAGTTCATTGTTCAGTACTCTTTTCTAAATGCTCTGCTGGTTTACATTCTACTCCCATTTTGCTTGAGTACATCAGGTAATCAGAATTTTTCTAATATGTACTCTGTGTCCATCTTTGCAGTCCTTTACTAAATATGGCAGAACACCCTCCCAGCCCCCATGCTGTACTATAGCAAGTTCTTCCGGGGATTTCTGTGTTTCTGTGTCATTTCTTTAAAATATGCTGTTAAGGACCGGGCACAGTGACTCACATCTGTAATCTCAGTGCTTTTGGAGACTGAAGCAGGAGGATCACTTACAGACAGAAGTTCGAGACCAGCTTGAGCAACATAGCAAAACCTGATATCCATTAGGTGGGCATGGTGGCCCACACCTGTAGTCTCCAGCTACTGGAAAGGCTGAGGCAGAGGATCACTTAAGCCCAGGAATTCAAGGTTACAAAGAGCTGTGATCACAACCACTGTGTTCAGCCTGGGCAAGAGAGTAAGACCTTCTCTCTAAAATAAATGAATAATAAAATAATGTATACTAAGTTCAGATGACCTTCTAAGAAAATTGGTTTTTCTTTTTTGTTATTGTTCTATTGTATTTATTTTTTGATCATAGTGTACATTAGTGGTGTCCAACCCTTTTCCCATTGATGGATAATACAAGAGGATATATATCAGCATCAAAACCAAATAAACACATCTGCCATGATAGTGAAATTGTTGCTTCAGACAATCTCTTAATACATTTAGGCTAGAAGGCTTTGTTGAGTCCCCAGGACTTCACTTTGTTTAATGTACTTGGCTCTTCTTTCTGAAGACTATCAAAAGCATTTAGATTGATCTGGTACTATAGGAAGAGGATCCTTTTCCACTTAGGTAATGTCATCAGAATCATATGTGAAAATGGACCTCGCTATTGAGTCAAAATGCTTCGAAGGAGAGCTACATTGACATTGGCCCTCTGCATCATTGCTACAAAATCAAAATCTCCTGTCTCCTAAGGCACATTTCAAAGTTTTCAGTTTAGGCCAGCATTTGTCTGGTAGGCTCACAGTGCTTGGAAGTGAAATCTTTTAGAGCTAGGCTTAGGAAATAAATATTTATCATATTTTGCTTTTTTTGTATATCCACAGGCTTATTTATAGGAGGATAAATGTCACATATACATATATTTACACTTAAATGGGTATGCGCTTTCTGTACTTGATGTTTAATGCACATACTCTCATAAAATGCTTCACCATAAAATGAAACTTTAACACATTTGCTGAATCAGCACTTTCATATTCCGATGTAATGCCTGAATATACTATACAAAACAAAATGTTTTTGATAAAACCACAGGCTAGTGAGCAAGAAGGGCTATTGTAAAGGGCTACTTATGGTATTAAAAATATATAATTTTTTTATTTAAAAGGCAGTAGAGGTCATTAATGTCATTTTATGAATGCAAAAACTGAAGTCTTAAGAGGAAGCTTTGGGTTCATAACAAAACCTAACCGTGAAAGAACTAAGATTGGGACACTGTCACACCCAATCCTGTGATCAATGCTCTATGAAAAAATTCATTTTTTTAAAATGGGGCTCTATGATTGAATTATCTTTAATTAGAATAATGAAGATCAGCATTCTGAGCAAAATGGGTCTATGGTAATCCATTTCAACAGTGATTTGGTTATTAAACCATCAAATTGCTTTTATTGTCATTCTAGCAGTCACATTTAATAAACATTTATTTTGTCCCAAAGATTCTACTAAGCACTTGCATATATTATGTCTTTAATCGCCATAAAAATCCTAAGGGATTATACTATTATAATCACTTTAATGATAGAATAGAGGCCCAGAGAGTCTGAGTAATTTTACAAGATCACACAGCTGGTGTTGGAATCCAAGGTTAAAATACAAACTTATTTGGATTAAAGGCACTACCATTAACTATTATTATAAAAACATCAATAGGACTCTGAATTTAATATTTTAACATTCCAGTGAATTAGAGTATTTAACCACAAAAAGTGATATCCCCACATAAAATAAGTAGAAATAACATGGAAACACAAAGGGCATTGGCATGAAATTAATGACTGTTTATATGTTCATAAGACAGCTTTGTTATAAGGATTAGATGAGTTAATTCTTTATCACTTAAATACATTTGTCTGTCAGACTCCACTCTTGATCACCTCCACACAATAAATATAGTATATGCCATAATTGTATGTGATTAAAATTCTCAAAAAGAAATGAAACCAAACATAAGCTCTGGTTTGGACAGGCACATAAACAGCCAGAGATGAATGTTTTAAGTCTAATCATTTTAACAGTTTAGTGGTGGCAGGCCATCCTCACAGAAGCTATATCTCCTATTTGTAACTGGTAGAAATATTTTGTTCTTCTGATTTAATGCTTCCCTCTCCATCCCCATCTCTTTTACCCTCATTTATCTGTCAAATCCAGTTCAAAAAAACTCATTATGTGGAGTGTTTTCAAACATCTCCACCAACTCCAAGACCTGCCATACCCCAGATGGAGTGAATACTAGTAACTTTTACGTCCTCTCTTTTCATTTACCACTTCACTTGCACTGCTGTTACAAAACACATAACACACTAGTATACTTATTGCCTTATACAGTTGTCTTCTCAGTAGACTATAAACCTCTCAAAAGTAGGACCATGTCTAATTCAACTCTGAATGCTCAGTACCTTGCACAGTACCTTCTACAGAGTTCATATTAACCTATTTTAAGATGATGTGAGCAGAATTCTTTCATATTTAATAACAACAATCATTTTCCCTTTATTCTGATTACAACCCCTTAATTTTCTTGGTAAAGCATCTCTCCATGACTTTAATCCATGCTCCATCAGAACTTCAGATAAATGTATGCCATCTAAGCCCAAGTCAATCTGAACAATTTTCACAGTGACTGGCTCATAAATAGACACATGATCCACGTTGGTCTAATCAGAGCGAATGCCAGGACTTTCTAAGGAGCCACCACAAGGAGGAGGGGGTTTTCAATATGGCCCCCAATTGCTTTAAAACTCCCACCAAGAAAAGAAGGCAGATCTGAGAAATAGAAGGAAACAGTCCTCTATCAATGTTACTTAAATTTTTGGTCAGTTACTTCTGACTGTATTGTGATAACCCTCACCATTTTAAATTTTAAAATAAAAGTTTATTTAACTTGCCGTTCTTTTTTTTTTTTTATTAACCACTTCTGAAACCAAAAAAACAAACCTAAATTCCAAACACAATTTATTCAGAATATCTGAGGGTCATGCCGGTCAATAAATAGGACAAAAGAAACAGAAGACATAGTCTTAATGCTAGGACTCAGGCCAGGCATGGTGGCTTATGCCTGTAATCCCAGCACTTTGGGAGGCTGAGGTGGGAAGATCTCTTGGGCCCAGGAGTTCAGGACCAGCCTGACCAACAACGTGAGACCCTTGTTTCTATAAAAAATGAAAAAATTAGCCAGGTTCAGTAAGTATTGTGCAGCTGTAGTCCCAGTTACTTGGGAGGCTGAGAAAGGAGGACTGCTTAAGCACAGGAGATGGAGGCTACAGTGAACTATTATCATACCACTGCCCTCTAGCTGGGTGACAGAGCACAACCCTGTCTCTTAAAAAAAAAAATTCTAGGAATCAAAGTTCAATGTTAAGAAAAAGGTATGGGAGAGAGAGGGTCATAAAGTAGAAGAGCTTTGATGAGGTGGAAAAAGCCTCCAAATTCCTTACCCTAGGGACTTCCATCACTAACAATCCTAATCCTTCATTGTTCTCCAGTGGCTTCACAGTGGTGGGAATCCTCCCGCTGCTACCCTTTTCAATTTCTAACAACCAGGTTTGGTGGTGGCATGTAGCGTACCAGCTGGGAGAGAGACCCAGGAGTCTGTAAAGTAGAGACCACCCACACAGACATGCATGTTCGCATGGCATTTCTCATGAGTAAAGTGGCTTGTCAGCAAGACTTGTCAGCAAGATTCAACAAGAATAACTTACTCCTCCTTGGGTATAACTTCTGTTCTCCCTCTTCTTGGCCACTTTATAACTGACCCTTTTATTTCTCTTTCTACTTCTTAGGGTTCCTGAACAAAGTGACACAAACTGATGACTTAAAACTAGAAAAACTTATTGTCTCACAGTTATGGAAGCTAGAGATCCAAAATCAAGGTGTTGTCAGGATTGGTTCTGTGTGAGGACTAGGCGGGAAAATATTTTCCACACCTGTCTCTTAGCTTTGAGGGGTTTGCTGGCGATCTTTGGCTTTCCTTGCCTAGTATTTTTCTTCATGTTCACATGAAATTATCCCGTATATGTGTGTCTGTGTTCAAATTTTCCCTTTTATATGGATACCATTCACATTAGATTAGGAGTCACCTTACTCCAGGATGAGTTCCATCTTAACCGATTATATACACAATGACTATTTCCAAGTAAAGTCACATTCTGAGGTACTGGGGCTTTGCACGGAAACTGATCAACAGTAGGGGGCCACAATTTAATCTATGACACTGGCCTTAGCAATGCCCTCATCTTTAAGACACACATTTATGGAGCACTGTATTTACTGAAATAATGCTAAAGTATAAGATTTTTATTAAAACTAGTCTAGTAATATAGGCCTGAAACATTGTTTTTTTTAAAAAAAATGTTACAGAAGAAAGCTAAATTGGCCCAATGACAAAGTATTATGAAAGTTATATCTCAGTCAACCTTATAAGAAAACACTTATACACCTGATAGACACATATACAAACACACACAGACATACAGAGTTTCAGAAACCTCAAAATGAGAAGACAATGTCTCAGCTAACACTGGATGAGTTTGTTTCACCTGTAGAAATTTTTTAGACCTAAGTTGATTTTAATTTGCCCTTTGAATATGCTTAATTTAAGGTATGAAGAATGCCTTTTCTTCTTATTTCTAAGTAAAACTGTAACAAGAGTGACCCTCAAGCACGATTTCTGAAAATAGGAGTGGAAATAAAGCTAAATGAATAAAATAAAATGTAGGGAGCCCAGAGAGGTCATACACAAAAGAAAAGCTTTACATTTTGTAGATGAAGAACATCAGGACAAGATTTATCATTTCGAGTAGGACCACAAATTAGATCCTACAGCCAGAGATATTGTTGTTTAATGTAAGAATAAGTTAATATTTAGAGTGAAGATTTGCAGCTTCTTCTTTTTTATACATATATATTTTCACTTCATTTTTGGGAGAGTTTGATGAAAACAAGGAAAATCATCTTCCAACCCAAACAGCTTTCCTGATGGGGCCTGGAATGACTTATCATTTTTCCTGGACGACTTCCCGAGAGAGGGTGTCAGTCAGGGGAATTGAAAGCAAGGAGCTTGGCCAGCGGATATCTCCTTCCTCCATTGACTTCTGTTACAGCGACTAGGCTTTTACAAAATTGGATACATTTTATTGTGTATATTTGAGGTTTACAACATGGTGATATGATATTATGGGATACATACAAATAGTAAATGATTACTATAGTGAAATACGTTAACACGTTTTACATCTCACATAGTTACTTTTTGTTACAAGAACAGCTAAAATCTTCTTATTTAATAAAAATCCCTAATACAATACAATTTTACTAACTTTAATCTTCATGTTATACATTAGCTATTTAAACTTGTTCATCTTCCATATCTGCTATTTTGTATTCTTTGACCTACATATCCGCATTTCCTCTCCTACCCACAACTCACCCATGGTAACCACTGCCAACCACTGTTTTACTCTCTATCTCTTTGTATTTGCAATATTTTTTTCTTTATCTGGCTTATTTCACTTATCAAAATGTTCTTCGAGTCCATCCAAAGAAACCAGATGGACTCGAATGGCAGAATCTCCTTCTTTTTTAAGGTTGAATAATGGATTAATGTTACATTCCATATATATATATATATATATATATATATATGTATATATACGTGTGTGTGTGTGTGTGTGTGTGTTTGTGTGTGTGTATCCTTTTCTTTATTCATTTGCTGATAAATAGGGACTTAGGTTATTTCTATACATTGGCTATTGTGAAAAATGCTGCAATGAACACAGGAGTGCAGGTATCTTTACACAGTGGTGACTTGTATTTACTTGGGTATATACTCAGAAGAGGGATTACTGCGTTATATGGTAGCTCTATTTTTTTTTTATGAACTTCCATACTGTTTTCCTTAACGGCTGTATCAATTTACATTTCCACCAACTGTGTAGTAGGATTCCTTTTTTCCCGCACCTTTGCCAATATTTGTTATTTTTTTTCTAATAGATATTTCCACCTCCAATTTGCTGACTTTAACAAAGTTGCTTCAAGAAATAACAAATCCAAATTATTTCACAAAACCACTAGGGTTTATATAGCCACTAAAACTGATGACTTGCAGAACAGGCTTAAATGGTGTTGATTAACAGTTGCAAATTGCATCAGTGAAATTCTCACACAATCATTTAAACCATGTGACTCAGCAGCTAACTCCTTTTTTTTTTTTAATACTTTAAGTTCTAGGGTACATGTGCACAATGTGCAGGTTTGTTACATATGTATACATGTGCCATGTTGGTGTGGTGCACCCATTAACTCGTCATTTACATTAGGTATATCTCTTAATGCTATCCCTCCCCCCTCCCCCCATCCCGTGACAGGCCCTGGTGTGTGATGTTCCCCGCCTTGTGTCCAAGTGTTCTCATTGTTCAATTCCCACCTATGAGTGAGAACATGTGGTGTTTGATTTTGTGTCCTTGTGATAGTTTGCTGAGAATGATGGTTTCCAGCTCATCCATGTCCCTACAAAGGACATGAGCTCATCCTTTTTTATGGCTGCATAGTATTCCATGGTGTATATGTGCCACATTTTTTTAATCCAGTCTATCACTGATGGACATTTGGGTTGGTTCCAAGTCTTTGCTATTGTGAATAGTGCCACAATAAACATATGTGTGCATGTGTCTTTATAGCAGCATGATTTATAACCCTTTGGGTATATACCCAGTAATGGGATGGCTGGGTCAAATGGTATTTCTAGTTCTAGATACTTGAGGAATCGCCACACTGTCTTCCACAATGGTTGAACTAGTTTACAGTCCCACCAACAGTGTAAAAGTGTTCCTATTTCTCCACATCCTCTCCAGCACCTGTTGTTTCCTGACTTTTTAATGATCGCCATTCTAACTGGTATGAGATGGTATCTCATTGTGGTTTTGATTTGCATTTCTCTGATGGCCAGTGCTGATGAGCATTTTTTCATGTGTCTGTTGGCTGCATAAATGTCTTCTTTTGAGAAGTGTCTGTTCATATCCTTTGCCCACTTTTTGATGGAGTTATTTGTTTTTTTCTTGTACGTTTGTTTGAGTTCTTTGTAGATTCCGGATATTAGCCGTTTGTCAGATGAGTAGATTGCAAAAATTTTCTCCCATTCTGTAGGTTGCCTGTTCACTCTGATAGTAGTTTCTTTTGCTGTGCAGAAGCTCTTTACTTGAATTAGATCACATTTGTCAATTTTGTTGCCATTGCTTTGGGTGTTTTAGACATGAAGTCCTTGCCCATGCCTATGTCCTGAATGGTAATGGCTAGGTTTTCTTCTAGAGTTTTTATGGCTTTAGGTCTAATATTTAAGTCTTTAATCCACCTTGAATTAATTTTTATATAAGGTGTAAGGAAGGGATCCAGTTTCAGCTTTCTACATATGGTTAGCCAGTTTTCCTAGCACCATTCATTATATAGGGAATCCTTTCCCCATTTCTTGTTTTTGTCAGGTTTGTCAAAGATCAGATGGTTGTAGATGTGTGGTATTATTTCTGAGGGCTCTGTTCTGTTTCATTGGTCTATATCTCTGTTTTGGTACCAGTACCATGCTGTTTTGGTTACTGTAGCCTTGTAGTATAGTTTGAAGTCAGGTAGTGTGATGTCTCCAGCTTTGTTCTTTTTGCTTAGGACTGTCTTGGCAATGTGGGCTCTTTTTTGGTTCCAAATGAACTTTAAAGTAGTTTTTTCCAATTCTGTGAAGAAAGTCATTGGTAGCTTGATGGGGATGGCATTAAATCTATAAATTACCTTGGGCAGTATGGCCATTTTCACGATATTGATTCTTCCTATCCATGAGCATGGAATGTTCTTCCATTTGTTTGTATCCTCTTTTATTTCATTGAGCAGTGGTTCGTAGTTCTCCTTGAAGAGGTCCTTCACATCCCTTGTAAGTTGGATTCCTAGGTATTTTATTCTCTTTGAAGCAATTGTGAATGGGAGTTCACTCATGATTTGGCTCTCTGTTTGCCTGTTATTGCTGTATAAGAATGCTTGTGATTTTTGCACATTGATTTTGTATCCTGAGACTTTGCTGAAGTTGCCTATCAGCTTAAGGAGATTTTGGGCTGAGATGATGGGATTTTCTAGATATACAATCATGTCATCCGCAAACAGGGACAATTTGACTTCCTCTTTTCCTAATTGAATACCCTTTATTCCTTTCTCCTGTCTGATTGCCCTGGCCAGAACTTCCAACACTATGTTGAATAGAAGTGGTGAGAGAGGGCATCCCTGTCTTGTGCCAGTTTTCAAAGGGAATGCTTCCAGTTTTTGCCCATTCAGTATGATATTGGCTGTGGGTTTGTCATAAATAGCTCTTTTTATTTTGAGATATGTCCCATCAATACCTAATTTATTGAGAGTTTTTAGCATGAAGTGCTGTTGAATTTTGTCAAAAGTCTTTTCTGCATCTATTGAGATAATCATGTGGTTTTTGTCTTTGGTTCTGTTTATATACTGGATAATGTTTATTGATTTGCATATGTTGAACCAGCCTTGCATCCCATGGATGAAGCCCATTTGATCATGGTGGATAAGCTTTTTGATGTGCAGCTGGATTCCGTTTCCCAGTATTTTACTGAGTATTTTTGCATCGATGTTTATCAGGGATATTGGTCTAAAATTCTCATTTTTTGTTGTGTCTCTGCCAGGCTTTGGTATCAGGATGATGTTGGCCTCATAAAATGAGTTAGGGAGGATTCCCTCTTTTTCTATTGATTGAAATAGTTTCAGAAGGAATGGTACCAGCTCCTCCTTCTACCGCTGGTAGCATTCGGCTGTGAATCCATCTGGTCCTGGACTTTTTTTGGTTGGTAGGCTATTAATTATTGCCTCAACTTCAGAGCCTGTTATTAGTCTATTCGGGGATTCAACTTCTTCCTGGGTTAGTCTTGGGAGGGTGTATGTGTCCAGGAATTTATCCATTTCTTCTAGATTTTCTAGTTTATTTGCATAGAGGTGTTTATAGTATTCTCTGATGGTAGTTTGTGTTTCTGTGGGATTGGTGGTGATATCCCCTTTATCAGTTTTTATTGCATCTATTTGATTATTCTCTCTTTTCTTCTTTATTAGTCTTGCTAGTGGTCTATCAATTTTGTTGATCTTTTCCAAAAACCAGCTCCTGGATTCATTGTTTTTTTGAAGGGTTTTTTGTGTCTCTATGTCCCTCAGTTCTGCTCTGATTTAGTTATTTCTTGCCTTCTGCTAGCTTTTGAATGTGTTTGCTCTTGCTTCTCTAGTTCTTTTAATTGTGATGTTAGGGTGTCAATTTTAGATCGTTCCTGCTTTCTCTTGTTGGCATTTTTATGAGCAGGTCGAAAGTATAAGCTATTGACCTTACCTTTTTAAAGCTATGTATTTGTTACTGTGTATCACATGAACTACATAAATTTGGTGAGAACTAAAACTAATATGTACCCATTAAATTACTTGACAATGGCATCAATGAGCTCACTATTACTGTAGTTTATAAAAATGTTGAACACAGAACAAAACAGGAAAAGAAAATAACAGAAGCATATATATTTATCTAACATTTGCTAAGAAGAATATTTCTGAGAGCAGTTTGCTGGTGATGATGAGGAATCAAAGATAATGAAACTCAGTCCCTGAACATTATTGTATAAAAGGAAAACAGCTCAATTTTCTCCTTCCCTTCTGTGATAATGGAGAAGGCACCCTCCTAAAATAACACTCATCTTAACTGTACCATTCAGTATAAATACGCCCATGGAATCCAAATCCTAACAAAACATAAAGCATTTCCATCAGTTCAGAAAAGTTCTTTATGCTCCTTCTTAATCAATCCCATTCCTGCCACCCCCAGAGGCAGTCCCCTTTCTGATTACATTTCATCATGATTAATTTTGCCTGTTTTAAAATTTCATGTACATGAAATCATTCAGTATGTACTCTTCTGGGTAAGGTTTCTTTTATGTAGCTATTATTTTTGAGGTTTATCCATGTTTTTGTGTGTAGCATTAGTTCCTCTCTTTTCAGTGTTAAATAGTATTTCATTATATGAACATGCATACAATGTGTGTGTGTGTGTGTTTAAGTCATTCTCTTATTGATGGATACCTAGATTGTTTTCAGTCTTTGTCTATTGTGAAAAAAGATGCTGTAAATATTCTTGTATAAGTCTTTTTGTGAAAAAATATTATAATTTATCTTGAGTAAATATCTAGAAACAGAATTGATGGATGATTGTTTAGTTTTATATGAAACTATCCAACATTTTTCCAAAGCGGTTGTCATATTTTACTCTCACACCAAAAATGCATGAGAGTTCTAGTTGATTCGCATTGTCACTAACATTTGAAGTGGTCAAGCTTTTTAACTTTAGCCATTCTGGTGGGTATGTAGTAGTATCTCACTGTAGTTTAATTTACATTTCTCTGATAACTAATAATGTTCAGCACTTGTTTTTGTTCTTTTGGCAATCCTTATGTTCATACTCTTTTCCTATTTTTAATTAGATTGTTTATCTTCTTATTACTGGTATTTACAATTTATTTCTGTATTCAGGATACTTGTTTTGCCAGATATATGTTTGGAAATATTTTCCAGCCCATTGCTTTTTTTTTTTTTTTTTTTTTGAGACTGAGTCTCGCTCTGCTTGCTCTGTTTCCCAGGCTGGAATGCAGTGATGCGATGTCAGCTCACTGCAACCTCTGCCTCCCAGGCACAGGGCTCAAGTGATTCTCTCCCCTCAGCCTCCCGAGTAGCTGCGATTACGGACATGCACCACCGCGCCTAGCTAATTTTCATAGTTTTAGAAGAAATGGGGTCTCACCATGTTGGCCAGGCTAGTCTCAAACTCCTGACCTCAGGTGACCTTCCTGCCTCGGCCTTCCAAAGTGCTGGGATTACAAGTGTGAGCCACCGTGCCGGCCAGCTTGCTTATTTTCATAACAGTATCTCATGTTGATGAATTTTCAAATATTTGGGGATTTTCAAAATATATTGATTTCTATTTTAATTTCATGGTGGTAGGCATTATACTTAGAACTTAATTTATATTAGAATTTCAGTGAATGTGCTATATGCACTTGAAAAGAATGTGTATTCTGAAGTTCTTGGGGGTAGTGTTCCATACATGTCAATTAAGTCGATGTGGTCCATAGTGTTGTTCAGATCTTCTGTGCCTTTACTAACATTTTTGTCTCACTGTTTTGTCAATAACTGAATGGAAGTGTTAAATCTCCAAGTGTATTTATATATTTCTCCCTTCAATTCTGTCAAAAGGAGCTTTATGCATTTCGAAGCTCTGCTACTATGTGCATGCAAAATATAATTGTTTTGTCCTAGCAAAGAATTGACCCTTAGATCATTCTAAAATGTCTTGCTTCAGTGGAAAACTAAAGGGAGCAGGGTTCACTATGCTTGTATAAGATAAAATTGACTTTAAGCCAGCAACAGTAAAAAAGGACAAAGAGCATTACACCATGATAAAGGGTTCATTTTAACAAGAAGATTTAACTATTTTAAATATATATGCACCCAACTGTCAGCCCTGGGTCCCATCTTCACTGCTGTGTCTCTGCCACTCCTAGAGGCCCCAGGTCGTTCTGCTGCAGCCTCTGTGGCTCTGTGACCTGCAGCTACTGGGAGATCTGTAGGTAGGATGCGGAGACATGGAAACAGATGGGAAGACCAGAACACTGGAGATTAGTTCAAAAATCCTGGAAGTAATCTAAAGAAAATTCATGGGACCTAAACTGCAGATGGCATTAGTTAAGGTTCTTGCTCTAGCAAATATAAATGCACTAAACATTGGTGCACCCAGATTTGTAAAACAATTACTGTTAGACCTAATAAAAGATGTTGACAGCCACGCAGTAATAGTGGTAAGCTTCAGTATCCCACTAATAGCATTAGACAGAGCATCAAGGCATAGCACTAACTAATTATGAACTTAAATTTGACACTTGACCAATTGGACCTAATAAAAATTCACAAAATATGGCACCCAACTACCACAGAATATACATTCTGCTAAACTACATGTGGAACATACTCAAAGATGGACCACATGCTTGGTCAGACAACAAGTCTCGATAAATTTTTAAAAATTGAAATTATATCAAGCATCTTCTCAGAAAACAAGGAAATAAAAATAAAAATCAATACCAAGAGGGACACTCAAATAAAAAATACAATTAAGCTAAAAACAAACAAACAACAACAAAAACAAACAAACAAAAAACTTACTCCTGAATGACTTTTGGGTAGACAACAGAATTAAGACCAAAATCAAAAAGTTATTTGAAACAAATGAAAATAGAGACACAACATACCAAAACCTCTGGGATGCAGCAAAAGCAGTGTTATGAGGAAAGTTTATAGTGCTAAATGGCAACATAAAGAAGATCAAAAGATCTCAAATTAATAATTTAACATCACACCTAAAGGAACTAGAAAAACAAGAACAAACTTAACCCAAAGCTAGAAGAAAAAAAAATAATAAACTCAGAGCAGAACTAAGTGAAATTGAGACCCCAAAAGCCATACAAAAGATCATTGAAACAAAAAGTGTGTTTTTTTAAATGATAAGCAAGATGGATAGACTGCTAGCTAGATTAGCAAAGATAAACAAAGAGGAGATACAAATAAGTGCAATCGGAAATAACAAAGGTGACATTATAACCAGTCCCACAGAAATACAAAAGATCCTGGAGACTACTATGAACATCTCTATGTGTAAAAATTAGAAAATCTAGAGGAAATGGATAAATTACTGGAAACACACTACCTCCCAAAATTGAACCAGGAACAAAGAGAAATCCTGAACAGACAAATAATGAGTAGTGAAATTGAATAAATAATAAAAACCTACCAACCTAAAAAAGCCCAGGACCAGATCAATTAACAGCCAAATTCTACCAGATGTACAAAGAAGAGCTGTTACCAATCCTACTGAAACTATTCAAAAAAATTGAGGAGGGGGGACTCCTCCCTAAATCATTCTACAAATCCAGCATCATCCTGACAGCAAAATCTGGCAAAGACACAGCAACAAAAAAAAAAGGAAACTATAGACTAATGTCCCTGATGAACGTAGAGGCAAAAATTCTTAACAAAATGCTAGCAAACCAAATCCAGCAGCACTTCAAAAAGTTAATTCACTACAATCATGTATACTTTATTCCTGGGATGCAAGGATGATTCACCTTATGCAAATCAATAAATGTGATTCATCAGATAAACAATATGAAAAACAAAAACTATATGATCATCTCAATAGATGCAGAAAAGGCATTCACTAAAATCTTACATCATTGCAAGATAAAAATCTTCCACAAACTAGGCACTGAAGGAACATACCTCAGAAATAATAAGGCCATCTATGAAAAATCCACAGCCAACATAATACTGAACAGGCAAAAGCTGGAAGCATTTCACTTGAGAACTGAAACAAGACAAGGATGCCCGCTGTCACCACTCCTAGTCAGCATAGTAGCAGAAGTCCTAATCAGAACTGTGAGGTGAGAGACAGAAATAAAAAGGTATCCAAATAGAACAAGGAGAAGTCAAATTATCTATCTTCCCTGACAACGAGATTCTATAACTAGAAAACACTAAAGATTCCGCCGAAGGATTATTAGACCTGATAAATGACTTCATCAAAATCCCAGGATATGAAATCACATCCAAAATCAGTAGTAGCATTTCTATACACCAATAACATTCAAGCTAAAAAATAAATCAATACAGTCCCTTTTACAATAGCTACAAAAAAAATTACCTAGGAATGCACCTAACCAAGGAGGTGAAAGATTTCTACAGAGAGAACTATAAAACACTGCTGAAAGACATCACAGACAACGCAAACAAATGGAAAAGCATGCTATGCTCATAGGTTGGAAGAATCAATATTGTTAACAGGTCGATATTGCCCAAATAAATTTACAGATTCAATGCTATTTTACGAAACTAACATCATTTTTCACAGAATTAGAAAAAACTATTCTAATATTCATATGAAACAAACAAAACAACAGTCTGAACAGCCAAGGTAATCCTAAAAAAAAAAAAAAAAGACAAATCGCACTTTAAACTATACTATAAGGCTGAAGGAACCTCAACAGCATCGTACTGACACAAAAATAAGCAGTGAGGCCACTGGAACATAACAGAGTCCCCTCAGGTAAAGCCACACACTTAAAACAAAGTCAACACAAATAAACAATGCAGGAAAGGACACCCTATTCAACAAACGGTGCTGGGAAAACTGGCCAACTGTGTGAAGAAGAATGAAATTGTAGCCCACTTCTCACCATATACAAATATTAGCTCTGGATATTAGCCCTTTGTCAGATGAGTAGGTTTTTGCAACCTACTCATCTGACAAAGGGCTAATATCCAGAATCTACAATGAACTCAAACAAATTTACAAGAAAAAAAACAAACAACCCCATCAAAAAGGAGGAAAAGGATATGAACAGACACTTCTCAAAAGAAGACATTTATGCAGCCAACAGACACATGAAAAAATGCTCATCATCACTGGCCATCAGAGAAATGCAAATCAAAACCACAATGAGATACCATCTCACACCAGTTAGAATGGCGATCATTAAAAAGTCAGGAAACAACAGGTGCTGGAGAGGATGTGGAGAAATAGGAACACTTTTACACTGTTGGTGGGACTGTAAACTAGTTCAACCATTGTGGAAGTCGGTGTGGTGATTCCTTAAGGATCTAGAACTAGAAATACCATTTGACCCAGCCATCCCATTACTGGGTATATACCCAAAGGATTAGAAATCATGCTGCTATAAAGACACATGCATACATATGTTTATTGCAGTGCTATTCACAATAGCAAAGACTTGGAACCAACCCAAATGTCCAACAATGATAGACTGGATTAAGAAAATGTGTCACATATACACCATGGAATACTATGCAGCCATAAAAAAGGATGAGTTCATGTCCTTTGTAGGGACATGGATGAAACTGGATACCATCATTCTCAGCAAACTATCACAAGGACAAAAAACCAAACAGCGCATGTTCTTACTCATAGGTGGGAATTGAACAATGAGAACACATGGACACAGGAAGGGGAATATCACACACCGGGGACTGTTGTGGATTGGGGGGAGGGGGGAGGGATAGCATTAAGAGATATACCTAATGTAAATGACGAGTTAATGGGTGCAGCACACCAACATGGCACATGTATACATATATAAAAAACCTGCACATTGTGCACATGTACCCTAAAACTTAAAGTATAATAATAATTAAAAAAAAGAAAGATGAATTAAAGACTTAAATGAATGACCTCAAAGTATAAAAATTCTAGAGAAAAACAGAAAATAGTATTCTAGACACTGGCCTAGGCAAAGAATTTATGATGAAGACCTCAAAAGCAAATGCAGCAAAATCAGAATAGACAATTGAGACTTAATTAAACTAAAGAACTTCTGTACAGAAACAAACAAAAAAACTCTCAACAGAGCAAATGGAAAACCTACAGAATGGGAGAAAATATTTACAAACTATGCATCTGACAAAAGATTAATATCCAGGATTTATGTATAAGGAACTTAAAAATCATCTAAGGAAAAAGCAAACGACCCCTCTAAAAAGTGGGCAAAGGACATGAACAGACACTTCTCAAAAGAAGACATACAAACAGCTAATAAACATGAAAAATTGTTCGGCATCACTAAAGTTCAGAGAAATGAAAATCAAAGCCACCTTGAGATGTTATGTCACAGCAGTCAGAGTGGCCACTATTAAAAAGTCAAAAAATAAAACATTTGGGGAAAGTTGTGGAGAAAAGAGAACACTTATTTGTACAATTCTGGTGGGAATGCAAATTAGTTCAGCCTTTTTGGAAAGCAGTTTTAAAGAATTAAAAATATAACTACCATTCAGCCCAGCAATCTCATTACTGGGTATGTATCCAAAGGAAAATAATCTTTCTAGCAAAAAGACACATGTATACATTTATTGCAGTACTGTTCATGGTAGCAAAGACATGGAATCAATCTAGGTGCCCATCAACAGTGGATATGATTTTTTAAAAATGTGATACATATACACCATGAAACCTACACAGCAAAAAAAAAAGTATTTCTACACGTGAATAATTTGTCCTTTGCAGCAACATGGATGCAGCTGGAGGTCATTACCTAAGCAAACTAATGCAGAAAGAGAAAACCAAATACCGCATTTTCTCGTGTTTATACTTACATATTTATGATGTCTAGTGATCTTTTCTGAAGATTCAAATTTCATCCAGGATCATTTGCCTTCAGTCAGAACTTCCTGTGGCATTTCTTTCACGTGCGTGTTTGCAAGTCACACATATAGATTTTATTACTATGAAAATGTTTGTATTTAATTTTCATTGTGTAGTGATATTTTTATATATGTAATTTTATTTTTTTTGTTTTGTTTTGACAGAGTCTTGCTCTGTCACCCAGGCTGGAGTACAGTGGCACGATCTCGGCTCACTGCAACCTCTGGCTCCCGGGTTCAAGCGATTCTCCTGCCTCAGCCTCCCCAGCAGCTGAGATTACAGGCGCCCACCAACATGCCCAGCTAATTTTTGTATTTTTAATAGAGATGGGGTTTCACCATGTTGGCTAGGCTGGTCTGCAACTCCTGACCTCAGATGATCTGCCTGTCTCGGCCTCCCAAAGTGCTGGAATTACTGGTGTAAGCCACCGCACCCAGCCTATATATGTAATTTTTTGTTGACAGATTTTTAATCCTTCTCTCAGAACTTCAGATATATTGTTCCTCTGTCTTCTTACCACCATTGTTTCTGATAATTCTTCAGCAATAGTTGATATCTTTTTGACTGAGAGACAATTGATTCTCTCTTACATAACGTGTCATATTTCTTTAGCTACTTTAAATATTTTTCTCATCTTTGTTTTTCAGTAAGGTAACTATGATAAACCAAATGTAGTTTTCTTTGCATTTATACTTCATAGACTTTGCTGAGTTTTCTGAAACACATAATTTTTGCCTTTCATCAAATTTAAGAAATTTTTTTCTCCTCCATTTTGTTTCTGATCTCCTCTAGGCCTTCAACTACACATGTGAGACCATTTGCTATCTCTCCACAAATCTCTGAGTTCCTGCTCAACATTTCCAATCTTTTTCCCTCCATTTTTCAGATTGGATATGTCTATGAATCTATCTTAATGATCTCCTTTTGTCATCTCAAATCTTCTTTTAAATATATCAAGTGAATTTTATACTTCAGACATTGTGTTTTTTGGTCCTCTAATTTCCACTTGATTCTTTCTATAGCTTTTATTTTTCTGCTGGCCAGGCTGGAGCACAGTGGTGCAATCATGGTTCACTGCAGTCTCAACCTCCTGAGCTCAGGCAATCCTCCCACCTCAGCCTCTCGAGGCTTTTTATTGTTTATGATCTTACTGTCATTTACATCTATAGTTATAATGGTTGCTTTAAAATGTTTGCCAATTCCAAATTCTGGCTCATCTTGGGTCAGTCTCCATTGATTGTCTTTTGTATTGAGTATGGAAAGTGTTTTTCAGTTTCTTTATACATTGTACTTTGGATTGTATCCCAAATATTGTCAATAATTTGTTACGGATACTGCGGATTCTATTCTGGTCTTCTCAAGAATGTAAAATTTATAAAAGTAGGCTGCTGAACTCAAACACTGTACACTGTTTCCTATCTCTGAGAGTTCTATTCAGTTCATTTGTCTTAGCTAGTAATCTTGGATTCTGTTCCACACATGGATAGTTCATGATTATCCAGACAGTTAGTTGGAGTTTATATGAAGAACTGGGGACATGTACTCTGTAACTCTTCTTTCAAACATTTCCTGTTTCACTTTGTAGCTGCCGAAGTTGCCTTAAAATAGAGTTAATAATCCTTTAATTAATAACTGTCAGTTTCTGCCTGTCAGATGTCCCTGGTTTTGGCTTCCTGTTAGGATGCTTGCTGCTGCATGTATGTACTCTTAACACTGGAGCCTCAGCCTACCACACTGCCTAGAACTTGGTACAGCCTTTAGTAAGCCTCAATAAATAATGTGAATTAGTTAATTAATTAATTAATGAGACTAAACAATACATGAAGCATTGGAGTCAGACAGACCTTAGTTCAGATTCCTCCTTTGCATTTTTTTTTATATTGATACTGGGAAAGTCTCTCAACTTCTTTGTCTTAGATTTTCTCTTCCTTCAAATGAAGAGAATAACATAGCTACTTCTCAGATTTCAGTTGGAGATAAAGTGAATTAGGTACTGTTGGCACATCAACAGTTGTGAGCTCTCATTAATATTATTCCAAAGTTGATTGAAAAAAGTTTCCTGAGAAGAGTACTGTTAAGAGGCTCAAAGGAGGCAGCAACAATTTCCATTTGGAGAAGAGGCTCTTTAGGGGAATTTAACATTTGAGGCAGGCCTTGAGGGAT
The DNA here is from genome assembly GCF_000001405.40 of Homo sapiens. Classification (NCBI taxonomy): domain Eukaryota; kingdom Metazoa; phylum Chordata; class Mammalia; order Primates; family Hominidae; genus Homo; species Homo sapiens. The sequence goes on along the minus strand of NC_000005.10, from coordinate 161,585,451 downwards.
GGAAGTTATTTAATTCAAGATATTTGCTTGCAGTGTTTCACATATACATAATACATCCTTCTACATCTCTATAAGCATATAAGTATCCACATGTGTATATCTATGTCTGTATATGTAAAGATATAGTCTATATCTAGATATCTATATGTATGTGTCTATATATACATCTTTGTATACATATATGTATTTACATACACAATTATCTATATATGTATGTATCTATGCATACCTGTATATATAAGATGTATATAGGGATATATATAGATACAGATGTAGATGTATATACAAATTAAATGTCTATATCGATATAAATACAAACATATGCATTTAAGAAAATACATGAGAATTATAAATGTCATTTAAAAATACATCAAGAACAAGGTCAAAAGACCTGTATACTAATACTTTTGCAAATCTAAAGAGATCAAGGAAAATCATGCAACATACGAGTTCAATGCATTTACCAGAATTATTTTACTCCCTTCATCAGAGACATGCTAAAATCATAATTAGCAACGTGTCTGACACTTAAAATGTGGATACAAACTTTCTTATTCAAGAGAACTGCAAAATGTGTGCCTCAGTCCTAAGTTTTTGCTATGTCTGAAGCTAATCTGTTGGTGGCTTCAGACGATATTTGAAATTCCAGTGGTGCTACAAATGGAGTTTATTACATAAAATATTCCAGCCTTCTTCTCTGTGATGTAAGACTAAATGTTAACAACCCTAGATGATCTGGTAAGCCATGCTATACTAACATAAGAGAGAGCTAACCATTTGAGTACAGTGTGATTCAATGACAGGGAGACAAATATTTTTGAATTCTGGGTTCTAGCCCTGACTCAGCTACTTGCTGTGAAGTTAGCCTAGTGAAACAATATCTTTTGTTCAAAATTGAAAGGGGACAGCACCCCAAAAACCCCAAAGCCCTCTCATTTCCTTTCCAGACAACATTTACAAAAATGATTCTGTCAACATTCTATAAAAGTGTAAGCACCATCAGGCTGAAATTGACATATATTCTTGTGGCACTTTCAGAATTTTTTATTATACCACATTTAATAACTACAGGCTGAAAAAATAGTTTTAGCCACATAAAATAAAAATAAAATGAAGTTATAAAACATTTAATCAAGCATATTCTTAATTAGTGATGAATAACCCTTCATTGAAATAAACCTTTGAAATTATTATCAATGGGACAAATTGCTTTTTTTTAAGTTAAAAAAATAACAGCAAAGTCACATTGTCAAATTATTAGAATGTTTGCTTTTACACAAAAATCCAGCAAATTTTCTGGACAATATAAAGTTTTTCCTTATTGATAATCTATGTCTTTTAGAAATTTTCAAGTGATGTTTGTTTGTTTCTTTGTTTGCTTTTGAGACAGTCTTGCTCTGTTGCCTAGGATGGAGTGCAGTGGTGTGATCATGGCTCATTGCAGTCTTGACCTCCTTGGGCGCAGGTGATCCTCCCACCTCAGCCTCCCAAATAGCTAAGATCGCAAGTGCATGCCACCATACCCAGCTATTTTTTCGTTTCTACATGGCGTTTCACTATGTTGCCTAGGCTGGTCTCGAACTCCTGGGCTCAAGCAATCCTCCCACCTTGGCCTGGCAAAGTGCTGAGATTATAGACACGATCCAGTGTGTCTGGACACAGGTGATAATTAAAGGATCAGAAATAAGCTGTATTTATAAAGTATGTCCCTATAGGTTTAGGACGCGGTTTGGGTTAACTTCTTGTTATCATTTTACTATCTAAACTTGAATTGCTCTACTGTTTTATGGCATTATTAATCAATGCTATTTTTACCACTGATTATGATGAAGAGTGCTTTGAAAATGTTATCAATGACCCTGATGGCAAAATGAAATTGCAAATTGCAGAGCTGAGTTTAACAACCAGCTTCTCTCTATTGTGCCAGGAATCAGCCTCTACAGACATCCCTCCTGCTGCTATTACTAAAGTAGAATTCTTGAGAATGGGGTTCTGATTCCAGAGTTTGTCATTGCCTAGCTATATGACCTTGGAATATCAATTAGCTATTGATTTTTTGCTACCTAGATTTTCTTCAGCTGTAACAGTGGGATAATATACCTGCCCTGCCTAAGTCACAGGTTTATTGTGAGGAAACAATGAGTTAACAATATATGTGAAAATGTTTTGTAAATCATAAAGTGCTATAGAAGATATGTTTTATTATTTCAGCTTAGCTTTAAAAATATATTCCAATGAAACAGTGTCAAAAACAAGTCTTTCCTAGAACCACTAAGTCTAAGGAAGATCACATAAAAGTAAACTTATTGCAAGCAATAAAGTTAGTGAAATAAGTTTAGTGGTGATGAGTTGGACTCTAAAGTCAGAAAGAATTGAGTTCAAATCACAGTTCACTCTTTTACTGACTCTTTGACCTAGGCCATATTATAAGTATTATTTGAGTTTTCAAATTCTCATCAGTAAATGTAGATAATATCTATTTGATAACCTATCAATTAGGATAAGCTAGTACAGGTTATGCTGCAGTGACAAAAAAATTCCAAAATTTTACAGTCTGACACAACACAGTCTTGTTTGTTTTCCTTCCTCACTTATGCTACGTGTCCTTAGTGGGTCAGTTGTGGGTTTAACACCATTCCTTCTCACTCAGAAACTTTTGCTGATAGAGTAGCCACCACATAAGATTTTGTTGATCACCAGGGCAGAGGGAAAGTGTGAGCAGCTAATTGTGCCCTGACTTGGTTTTAACTGCTTATATTTTGGGGGCCAACGAAAGCCATATGGCCTCGCTCAACTTGAAGGGGGCAGAAATGTGTAATCCTATCATATGCCTTGGAGGAGATTTGGAAATATTTGAAGGGCAGCCCAAATCATTGGCACAAACTAGTTGTAAAATTACATAAAGATGAAATTCTTTTCATAAATGCCTGGCAGATATATGAAAGACTCAATAAAGTTTTATTATGTTGTATTATTATTATTTCAGTTAAGTTGTGTTTTACACACAGAAATGATTTTGAGGTTTTCATAACCACACTTACGATGCCTTGCCCAGTGAAGCAGAAACCTGGGCAATCAAACAGAAACTTGAGTGCCTAGTTTATTCTGTGACATGAAATAATTTCTCTCCCCCTTAAATACTTATTTTGCTTCCTTAAAAAATAATTGCAAACAGAAATACTGTGATTATGTGGGAATATTTTATGATATTGCAAAGCACTTTGAGTTTCTAAGTACATGTGTACCACATATTGAATCTACTTTATTGAGAGCTACTTTATTGAAATAGCTACTTTATTGAAATAATCTACTTTATTGAGAGCTACTTTATCTACTTTATTGAATCTACTTTATTTGAGCATCATTCCTGATGCTTCAAAAAAGGAAAAAGGCTTGCAAATAGATCTTGCTTTGTAAATGACTTTGTGGTTCTTTCCCGGAAGCCCTCTGACTGTTCTTCCATTCTGAAGACTGTGATTCAGGTTGACTCTCTGTGATCTCAAAAATATTCAACCTTCTAATCCAGATAACCATTACAGATAAGCAAGTCAGAGGAGGAAATAATGGAGAAAACAAAAGCTCTCAGAAAGTGACTCGCATAGTTCCTCATACATATGCACTCAGTGACTATTTCTTTTTAGTTAGATGGTTTCAGTATTACCTCTTAGTCTTCCAGTTATCCATTTTTCTTTGAAACCTGATATCAATTATTCAGCCTTCTTTCAATCATGTACTAATGAATATTCAGCTTCTGTATTTTTATGTACAATGTAAAGGTGTTCTACACAAAATCATGGATATATAAATTAATAATATGATTGACAAATAATAAACTTATTCAACGATAAGGTACATGCGGGAAGAAGAAATGAGTCATGTATATTTGGTAGTACCTGTCCCCATCCCTCGTTCTCTCACCACCTCCCCACGGCTCCATCACAGGCTTAAAAATGTTTATTAAAAAACAAATGGTGAACTGGGCACAGTGGGCCTGCCTGTAGTCCCAGCTACTCAGGAGGCTGAGGAAGGAGGATTGCTTGAGCGCAGGAGTTGCAGGTGCCTGTGAATAGCCACTCCACATAAGCCAGGGCAACATAGTGAGACCCTGTCTGTAAAAAACACAGATAAAAATGATGATAATGCTTAATACCAATTCAGGTATCTAGTTGGTTATGTGTTGAAAGCCTAGAGAAGCTTCTCGATATGGTGCTCCAGATTGAGGTGGCAGAAAGTAGGCGGTATTCTTAACCAGCTGAGCATTTGGAGTTATAAAAGAATAGATGTTTTATATAGTTCCAGCAAGTCTACCAGCCCTATGACCAGATGTGTTTAACTATGGGCCCATTTAGACATGTGCCCTGGTTTGAGACAGCAACACTAGATTGCTTTAGAAAGTACTGTTTTTGGGGTAGGGGAACAACTAGATAACCAATTTTAGGCAGGTGCTATAACTCTGGCAGTTTTTTTTTAACTTTTAATTTTCTCTTATTTCTTTTTCTTTTTTTTTTTTTTTTTTTTTTTTTTAGTAAATCTATTTGTTGAAATATAATTCTAGAATTTTGGCCCTGAGAGGAACAGCATTTGTCAGTGGGAGATGGCGTGGGTGGAAACAAATGTATTTTTCGAGTCACCGCCTCACTTAGCACACAAAGCGCGACTCCTACTGTCAGGATGGATACCTGTGAGTATTCTTCCCTCAGTGACAAGCTTTGATACTTAATTTATGGATGTGCTCAGGCTGATTTTAGAAAATACCTGGTGATGTAAGACTAAGAATGAAGGAAAAAGATCAAGTTCTCACAGTAGCTGCTTGCTAATTAATCCCAGTGATTAACCACCTGAGAGAATCATCTAAGAATAGCTATATTGAGCAGTATATATTTCTATCCTTTTCCCTCTATCTTTGGCAATCCACAAACAGGAGAAAATAGAGAGTATATGGAATTGAATATTTTGACAGTTTAAAGACCATAATCAAGCCTGTAATTACTTTAGTGATTTTTGCTTTGGTGAGCTATACTTGGAAGAGCAGCAGTCCTGCCTTACTTTTCATTTGCAGCCTTGTTTTCCTTTTAAAATCATTCATTTTGATATATCTTTTGGTGTATGCATAAAGCCAAATAAAAGATTTAAGATTTTCATAAAATCCAAAACTCTGAAAGCAGTACAATCAATTCTATATAGTGTGTTTGTATATATGCATGAATGTTTGTATATCTGCATAATTACATATAAACCATTCTAACGTACATTAAACACCTACTATATGCCAGGCACTGTATTATACACAAACTCATATGTCTATATGCATGAGGTTGTATATTCGTATATTTATCTTAGACCTAATACAGGTAATAAACATGTTGCTGAAAAATGGTCTTAGAATCAACATTATTGTTCAATAAGTATGTGATGACCAAAAATTTTACTTCCCAGGGAGCTCTGAAAATATTTCATTGTAGATCACTCTAGATATTTCTCTTTACGTATTCTTACATAGAAAACTTTCAAAAATAAGATCCACAGAACATTTGGAAATGTAGTGTGATTTAAAAATCATAAGAATGAATGTTTTTCAGTTTTATTACCTTTTTGTTATCATTAATATGCAGATATTTACTCTCAGTAGTCCAGATTCCGCCCTCTGAACAATCAAGTATATTTCCTTTCAGAGAGGCTGCACCAAATTTCATCATCCAACAATCTGTCTGTTAATTCCTTTCAATCACACTGTGGTGCAATAGGAAAATGGAACATGTTTTGAAAATATCCCACAAATTAGACATATGACTGATATGGTTTAGCTGTGTCCCCACCCAAATCTCATCTTGAACTGACACATCCCCATATGTCATGAGAGGGACCAAGGGGAGATAACTGAATAATGGAGGTGGTTTCCTCTATTCTGTTCTCATGATAGTGAGTTAGTTCTCACAAAGATCTGATGATTTTACAAGGAGCTTTTCCCTTCGCTAGGCATTCTTTCTTCTCTTTCCTGCCGTCATTTGAAGAAGGGCATGTTGGCTTCATTTCCATCACATATATAAGTTTCCTGAGGTCTCCCAGCCATACCGAACTGTGAGTCAATTAAATCTCTTTCCTTTATAAATTACCCAGTCTTGGGTATGTCTTTATTGGCAGCGTGAGAACAGACTAACACAATGACCTTGAGCAAACATTGCCCTTCCTGGAATAATTGTTTGTATCTATTCAATGAAGGAATTACAATAAATGGCTGTTGAATAGTAGTGACTTCATCTAATCCTTCCATGGAGATCAGGGCTTCCTCTCAGATCCCTAATCAGTGTCCCTGTTCTCCTGGCCTACTGAAATGAGATTCTAAGGAAAAGAAGCATGAAGCAGTTTACCTTCATGTCTTCACCCAACAAAACTTAAACTCAGCTTCAGTGCTGGGCACTCTGAATATAGGTGTAAACAAGCAGATATGAACTCCATCTAACAACTTTTATATTCTGATACTTCAACCATCTTCTAGGCTAGATTTGATAACTCAACCTGGCTTTAGAAATTCTAGAGGCACACGTGTGGCATATGAGGGCAACAGATCACACAGGTAGGACTGAGAGTTAAATCTTAGCTAGTAACAAAGAAAATGCATTTGGCTGGCTAGTTTTCTGTGTGCATCACTCAGTTTCTAATCTATCATGGTGGTTGCTGATGAGATAGCACTTAAGGATTTAGAAATCCTGAATCTTGCCACATGCCAGCAGAGTTCTTTCTAGCTATAAAAGTCTATTAGATTTGTCTAGGCACAATTTACAATAAATTTTAGATGTTAAGGATTTGTACAAAATTAGTTAGGATACCAATCAACATTTCCATTACCTGGCTCATACTAAATACTAAATAAATATGTATTAGATGAATTAACTACTCAGTTTCACCTTTTCTCAAAGTGCCAAATCCACATACGGGAATATAATGGTGAGAGGAAGGGATTCATTTCATCTACTTAAGCTTAACTAGGCAAATTGATTGTATTCTAGATATGGAGTCAGTGGAGTCAAATTAGGAAAGGGGAAATGGCCAAGAATACTGATGCTTATTGGTCACCCACTGAGCTAATCATGAGTGTGCCTTGAGTTGAGGATAGAATAGGACATTATAAAATCAGGAACTTCAGTGCTATTTCTCAAATAATGCAACCAGGTTTACTTAACAGCTACTATGTCTTGAGCACTTTCTACATTCTGAGAATAAAGAAATAAATACACATTTTTGAATACCCACCCAATCAGGTTTTTGTACGAATATAATTTAACAATTCCCAGTTTAGAATGAGACCATAACATGGATGCTATCCCAAGGAGCATTCCTAGGAAGTTAAACACATTTTTTCAAATCACATCACTATTTGCAGTATTATCATCTGCAACCATAGTATAGAAGACAATGGTACTCATAGATTCTAATGAGTGTTCAGGTCCTTTGCCTCTTGGCTGTGATGGTCCTTTTTTATTTTCCAAATAATTAGGGGTATGTGTGTGTGTGTGTGTGTGTGTGTGTGTGTGTGTGTGTGATCTTTTTAGAAAGGGAAAGTTTCAGTAAGGTGAAATTGCTGCAGCATTTTTTTTTTCTCAACTGTGTACAATCCATTTCTCTAACTGCGTGTAAGTCTCCTAGGAAACCTTAGTAGACTAAGGTTTGATTGGCTGTTCTCTTGGATTTATCATGAGAGTTTTGAGCATAGATTTAGAGTGGCATAACCTTGGTTAAATCGTTCTGAAGATATAAGAATGCTTTCCGTGCTTACTTGCAAACAGATGTAAACTAAACTGAGTTTATTTGAGGTGTCATCATGTCTCAGTAAGATCTGTCCATGGAATTTTGAACTTTTAGACACTGTATAACAAAATGTCCTCAGTACTGCAACTTTGATCTCTTACCATGTACACAACATTTTTTTTCTGATCTGTAGTCTCAGATTCTTAATGTCCATAGTTGAGATTTTTATCCCAACTAAAAAGAAATTGAGCTGTGTAGTAAGTCAAATAAATAGAGTGTTAGTGCAAAGAAATAGAGCTGTTTAAGTCAGAATAGTTTATCTGTTTGTGGTTGATGATTAAGTAATCCATGATATATTTTCCAGTACTACATATTCCTTATGTAATGTATTTAGTAAGTTTAACATAAGTGATATATTACAATGTACAAACTGTTTCCACATACACATTCTGTAACCTGTGAGCTACCTAGAATGGGTCTAATCAGCTCACTTAAAAATGAGATATTAAAGGCACAGATAGATTAAGTTATTTGTGGATGATCACAAAATTGAAAAGATAGCAAAGCTGAAGCTCATATTTGGATTTGTCGATTAAGCTCAGTGTTCTTTCTATAAGAATTTCTACTTTTTCTATCTACTAAAACAGTATATCCTGGTTGCCTCCAGCTCCGAAATATATCTAAAAACATACATTTATCTCATTCTCTATTATATCACGATGAAAAGTCACCATCACTTCTCTCTTAGACTTCTGAAGTAGCTTCCTAAATGATCTCTTTGGTAGTATCCTTGCTCCCTGAAACTCATTCTCTTCCCAGTAGCCCAAGTGTTTTTATAGAATTTTAATGTAGGCATTTTTGAAGTAAAATTTGCATGCCATGAAAGGAACAGATTGTAAAATTACAATTCAATGAGTTTTGATAAATATATACTTCATCAACTACTACCAAAATTGAGATACAAGACATTTCCAACACTCTAGAAATTTCTCTCATGCCTTCTTTCAATCCCTACCCCTCAGAGGCAATCATCATTTTGATTACTTTTACATGAATTAGCTTTGCCTATTCTTGAATTTTATATAAATGAAATCATGGAGTATGCATTCTTTTGATTCTGGCTTCTCTGGCTTCTATCCTCAACAAAATACTTTGAAATGTATCTGTGTTATTGCATGCATCAGAAGTGTGTTATTTTTAATGCAGTGTAGTATTCCATCATGAGCGTGGACCTAAATTTGCATAACCATTTTACGTCAGATGGACTTTTATTTCCTATTTTTGGTTATAATGCCACAGAATTTTTAGTAAACATTGTCCTAGAAGAGGTTTGGGTTTGTAGGAGAGTTATACAGATAGTAAAAAGAGTTCCCCTACACCCCACACCCAGTTTCCCCTATCATTAGCATCTTATGTTAGTATGGTACATCTGTCATAACTACTAAACCAATGTTGATACATTATTACCAAAAGTTCACATTTTATTCATATTTCTTTACAGTTTACTTTATTTCCATTTTGATTCCAGGATATCTCATTACACTTAGTTGATATGTTTATCTCAAACTTTTCTGTTCATTTATTTTGATGACTTTGAGAGTTTTGAGGGTATTGGAGAGACATTTTGTAGAATAGCCCTGAATTGGTGGAGTTATTTTTTTCTTCTTTTTCTTATGATTAAACTAAGGTTTTGCGGAAGAGCTACAGAGGTCAGGTTCCACTGCCATCACATCATAGCAAGGGTTCATGATACCAACATGATGATATCACTTTGGGTCTAAACTGTGATTACCTAGCTGAGGTCGTGTCTGTCGGGTTTATCCACTATCGTTGTACTCTGTTTCCTCCTTCGTATACTGCACTCTTTGAAAGGAATTGACCATGAACAGCCAACAGGAAGGTGGAGAATTATGCTCCACCCAACCCTGACTTGAGGGTGGAGTATCTACAAAAAGGATTTGGAATTCATCTGCAAAGGAAATATGTCTCTCATTTCCCATTCATTCATTTATTTAACCATTTATATAAGTACAGATTAAATGATATTTATTTTATACTTTGTGTTATAATCTAACAGTATATTATTTATTTTTCCCCTCAAATTGTTCCAGTTTTGGCCATTGGGAGCTCTGTCAGTTGGCTTCTATGCCTTTTGGCATACTCTATCATTGTGTAGGAGTTTGATTTCATTTTTGTGTGAGTGTGTTCAGCACTTCCTTACTTTCTGGCACTACAATGTGCTTTAGGCTCAGTTTGTATATACCTTGCCCCAGCCTTGGAAGAGGCTTTTATTCAAAGAGATCTGTGTTCTTTCATTGGAAAATAGTATTAGAAACCGAGAGATCTTCTTTGTCTTCTGTGGAGTTAAAGTTTTTAATTTTAATAAAGTTCAATTTATCATATTTTTATTTTATGAATTATGCTTTTGGAGTTGTATGTAGAAGTCATCACCGAACCCAAGTTCACATAGATTTTTTTGCCCTATGGTTTCTTCTAGAAGGTTTATATTTTTTATTTTACATTTAAATTTCTAAGTCATTTAAAATTGTTTTTTATGTAACATGTAATACCTGTGATTAGGTACAAATTTTTTATATTGACATTCAATTGTTCCAGTAACATTGGTTAAAAAGATTATCCTTCCTCCATCAAATTGCCTTTTGGCTTTGTTAAAAATAAGTTAACCAAATTTGTATGAGTCTATTTCTGAAGACTCTATTTTATTACATTGATCTATGTGTTTATTCCTTCACTGATAACAAGGTATTGTGATTACTGCAGCTTTATAGTAAATCCTAAAGTAGGATAGTGTCAGTTCCCTAATTTTGTTTTACATCTTCAGCATCGTGTTGGTCATTCTGTTTCCTTTATATTTGTATATAAATAATAGAGTCAGTTTGTTGTTATCTACAAAATAGCTTGCTAGAATTTTAATTAGGATACCATGGAATTCATAGATCAAGCTGGGAAGAACATCTGAACAACACTGAGTCTTCCGGTCTATGAAAATGGAATACCTCTAGATTTATCAAGCTCTTTGATTCTCTCATCAGTGTTTTGTTGTTGTTGTTGTTGTTGTTGTTGTTGTTTTTAGTTTTCCTCCTACAGATCTTGAACATATTTTGTTACGTATATAACTAATAAATTTTTGATGCTAATTAAACAGTATGTTTTTTAATTTTAATTCCAGTTTCTAATAGTTGGTACACAGAGGTTTTAAAACATGAGCAATGTCATGTTTAACCACTGCACTTAAAAGGCAAACTCCTCACTCTGGGCTACAAGACCCTGCCAATCTCTCTAAAATAATCTCTTACTGGGTTCCTCTTTGACTACTGAAATACAAATTAACTGTCTTTTTATTTCCTGATTATTCCAAGCTTGTTCATGCCTCAGAGCCTTTGAACTTGCCCTTTATATTTGGATTTCTTTTCTCCTATGCGTGTTCCTCTCTGCTTCTGGCTCCTTTCATTCTTCAGGTCTCAATTCAAATTTTTAGTGTCAGAGGAATCTTCCCTAATCACTACATCTAAACTAGTGTCAACTTTCCTCCCTCCACTTCTGTTCATTTTTCCTTGCTTTATAGTTCTTGTCAGTATTTGACATTCTCTTGTTTGTCATTCTTCCTGGTCATCATTGTTCTTTATCCAAATACATATAAAGTAGAGGAGAGTAGGAACTTTGCCTTTTTCATTTGCCACCATATTCTCAGTGCTCATTACTCTGTCTAGAATATAGTAGACACTCATTCAAATATCTCTAAATGGACACATTTTCTTTTAACAAGAAAGATATGTTGAGGTTAAGGGTCTTAACTTCGGTGAACTCTTCCTTGAGTCCCTAAGCTGGATGTGATTACTCTCTGCTCTGTATCTCGGTAAAAATGTATTCCTTCTTATGTGATCATATTTTATAGTGCTCATTGTTGATATATATCTTTTGTCTGACTGCACTACAGAGTCACTGAGGATGGTAGTAATTTATTGATATTGTATTTTCCATAACTTCTGGGAAGAAATCTTACATTTAATAAAAATCTATTTGTATATATGTGTGTAATTATTTACAGAGTTTTCAGTAATGAATAAATAGGCCGGTAGTCTTTCAATCTTGGATCTGATCCAAACAAAGTTTACCAAAGTATTATTAAGAAAACCACCTCACTTCAGTAGAATTTATTTTCCCAATTTATAGAATGAGGGAATTATAATAGACTGAGTGATAATTATTAAACCACTTGTTTTTCTTTTGAAGGAGCTGTAGCATATACTGTGAGTGTTCCACCCATAGCCTCTGAAACATGGATGATCATGATTCCATGATTATGAGATCTCAGGAACATGAACATGAGATCTCAGGAAATTTTACTGCTAATGGCTAGAACTCACCTCCCTTCATTTGCAGGGCCACCCTCAGGCTTCCTGATACCGCTTTATGTGCAAACTGAAAGAGCCGGAATTACACCCTCCTTTTCCCCAGGGAAACCATGAGCCAATGACTAAGGATGTGGAGGTATAAACTCATTAGGCCCTTGATACAGCTCTGAATGAGGCCGCTTGTCTCTAAAGCTCCCCAGTGGGACTTGGTTTGATGCCACACCCTTGCTTGGCTTCCTTCCCTTCCCAGCCTTGCTTCCTACTTGACAACTTGTTTTTCCTAAAAACACTTCTTAACACACCACTTTTACATGATTTCTCATCTCAGCACCACTTCTGGGAAACCCAGCTTGAGACTTGAAACAATAGGTTGAGACCCCTTTGAGACTCTGTTGAAAACCATGGCTCATCTTCTGAGAAAAGAAAGTATTATTCATATGAAAATATTTATGTAATCTATGGATTTCAATTTAAGGATGCCATGAATAAAAATCTCTAAGGTAACTTGTGTTCTTAAATTCATTCACCCCTTCAAAGACCAGTTTAGTAAGTGTCTACTAATAATTGGCATCATTGTAATTTCTGATATCAAAGTGAATAAAACTAACCAGATCCTTGCTTCTGCAGAGCTTATCTTCAAGTGGAGGAAGATAATAATCAAGTATATTTAGAAGGGGGAAGTAATAGTAAGTGTCATATAGATAATTAAGGCAGATAGAAACCTAGTGGATGACAACCTTATGTATGATGATCAAGTGAGACCCCTTGGGAGATGAGGCATTTAAGATGAAATTGTAATTGTAAGCAGGAGCCAGCTATACAAAGATCAGGAGATGGCAACATGGACAGAGGGAACAATAATGTGAGAAAGAAAACCCCAGAAACATCTAGCTCAAAGTGCCTAAGTTAAGAACAGGCTTGGTAAGTCTGAGAATTAAAAAAGGTCTCAGTGTCTAAGCATGGCATAGGACGATGCTAAAAAAGTATTTAAGCATCGATCATGGAAATTAACTCAGGTTAAAAAGTTGAAGTTTTATTTTAGGTAAAATGAGGATGGTAATAATTAGCTCTAGTTTTCTACTGAAACTTTCCACTGCTAAGTGCTATAACATAGGGTTTCAATTCTAATTGTACTCTAATCAGTTCCATTAACACCAACCGCTCATTCACTTCCTCATATATCCCTTTTTGTCACCTGAGTATAGGCTCATTAGTCCCTATTTCCTCCTTCCTAAATTTTCCCCACCAGTAGAAAAGGGGAAATACCATGATAAGTAATTGTATGAGCTAAAAGTCACCTCTGAAGAACCATATCTCTAAGAATGATGAGAATTCCCATGAATATATACATGAACAAAATGAATCATTTGTGACCTCTGACTAGGTTTAAAGCTAAGCTCCTATTCATAGGATGTCACATTGAGGTGATAACATCTTAGAGCCTCCAGGATATAAGTTGCTACTATATTCAGCTTTGTTTGCCAGGTGGGTTGAAATTTGCATTGAAGGCCATCATTAGTATTAATTTCTTAGGAGTTTGTTTCAAAGAGAAAAATTCTCATTTTTGTACTTTCTTTAAAATTCAGTGGAAGATTGTCTAAAAGCACAGTAGATATTATCAGAACTTTAAATTTAAGCAAAAAACAAATATATATATATATATATATATATATATATATGCCACATTATGGCTTCTAAAACATTTTTTTCAACTCTTTCATTGGCACCATCATGGTTATTCTACAACTGATGCCCCTAACAGGAAAGGAGTCTTTCTGACAAAGCAAGCTTGATAAGACAGCTGGAGTTTCTTAGAGAATATTGACCAGAGTAATTACTGTTTCTGACAGCAGCTGTAAAGTTTCTGTTGCTAGGGTAGAATTTAACCCCTAGCTAACTGAATTCTACAAAATTGATTCTTTGTTATATTTTCCTGAAATATATATCAGGATATTACTTGAAAAATATTGAATCCTATTTAATTAAATTAAAGAGCATAATGGCTTTTGCCTTGATATTCTGGGTTCAAAAGCTCTGCAAAAATATTTATACAACAGATAAAGAAACAATGATTCTCTTCATTGGTCTGCTTGCCCCCACTCTGGAGTTTCCATAGTTGCATCTACCTTAAAATTCAGCCTACTTCGTAAGAAACAAAACATAAGCAGATTTGGATGTGATGAAGCATGAAGCTCACTTGCTTCAGACTGAGAGTATATTATAGTTGTTCAAGCAATAAGGAAGTAATGTAGATTAAAATGCAGTACTTTTCCTAATTCCACATTGCAAAAATTTTATTGAAAATATTTGTCCCCTAACATTCTACTAAATTATGAGAAGTCATAGTTTTGCAATACCAGGTGCCAAGGATTTGCTGAGTATCTACTATATATGAGACACTAGAATAAACATCAATGAATTACCAAGAAGTACAAATTATAATCTCCTGCTTCAGAGTTTATGTTGCAGGTGCAATACTGAGACACTTGGGAAATAACTGTTAAAAGTAGGTAATAAATTAACGAGCATCATTATGATCAAAAGTTATTAGTGTCTGGTTACTATCAAAGATTATTAATAATATTCAAATTAATTATGTAGACAACACAATTTTAGGAATTTTTTGGATGCATTTGACATCCTCAAATGCTACTTGGATCATAGTAAAAGTGTTACAGGTAGTAGTAAAGAAGCAATAGCTATAATAATAGCATTTACTGACTATACACCACATGCAACATGGGTATATTTATGATTTCTAACCCTCTCAACAATCCAGTGAAATAAATGTCATTAGCCACATTTTTGCAAATAAAAATTCTGACACTCACATATATATCAAATTAAAATTTCAAACTGGGCTCATTTGATCCCAGAGTCAGGTCTGCTTCCCTCAGTCATGATGCCCTTGTGTACACCAAAGCAGGTTTCAGGAGGATACTGGATCTGAAATAAGTTTAGCACATATGGATTTTGATTCAAACATTGAAGCTTAAAAGGAATATCAATTTCTTTTCTACCTAAAACCTTTTACAATTCCCCAACATGTGGGGCATCTAATTTATCAGTCATTTTTTATTCCACCCCAGCCCCATTTTTGCAGAGCTTCTAAGTTTGCTCTAAAATTGGGACAAAGCAGCTTCTCTCCTTTAATGCACAAGATTCTACAGTTTACTTGTCAAGCTTGGGGTACTTACTTCTCTGGCAAGCTTTGGAGCTGTGTTCTCAAGGTTCCAGTAACCTGTGTGTGTATAACACACAGCCATCCCTCAGAAGAGTAGCCTCCTCAAACCTCCATCCCCTTCTAGGCTAGAGGAGTCTCCTCACTGCTGTCTGCTCCTCAAAGAGCCAGACCATTTCCTCTTCCCCAAGAAATCCAGCAACATTTTTTTGAATGTCTTAGGCTGTAGGAAAACCAAACCAGACCAGGATGCATCTTGCAAGCCACCTTTCTCATGGCCCAGAAACACAAACCTGTCCGGAGAGAAGGGGTCACACAAGACCATGATATTTTTGGAAAATGGATTGAAAAGGAGAGATACCATGAGGAGTTAAAAATTAATATCTCAGTTAATAACTTTGTCACATAAACATTGAAAATAAACAGGAATGAAATACGCAACGTGGAGACAATAAATTATTCTGGTTTACCTAACAGCTTTCTTTTTTTTTAAGACGGAGTCTTGCTCTGCCTGACAGCTTTTATTAACCTATGCGTAGAGCCTTACTCCCCAAGTGGAGTTGTGGTACCAGCACCACATACAACACCTGAGGGATTGTTAGAAATGAAGAAATTCATTGCACTTCTACTCCAGCTAATGAACCCAAATCTGTATTTTAACATGATTCTCAGTTGATCTGTATACATATGAAAGTTTGAGAAACATTGATATAGAGGGCGAAAAGCACAAAGTATGTTCAGGGTGCAGTCAATAGATCATTTGGCTAAAGCACAGGGTTTGAGCAAGAGAAAAATATTGGCATGTCTATAAATGATGACTGATCCAGGCAGTCAAGAAACTTGAAAGCCATTTTCAAGTGGTTAGAAGTTTTCCTGCAGTTGTGGGGAGCCATTGGAAGTTTTTGCACTGGAGAATGACATAATCAAAGGGATGGCTTAGGAAGATTTATCTAGCATAGTTGGGGAAAGGATATCCTTTGTGAAAGAGCAGAGGGATCTTTAGTCTAAAATCTTCCATGTCAGATACTCCTTCAAGTCCATCAGACATTTTCAGAAATACATAGGCTTTATTCAGGATGCTGGGAGACTATTAAATGTATTAACATTTTATGATGCAACAGTGTGCCTATTAATGACTTTAAAGAGTAATTTCCACTCTTGGTGTCAATGAATTCTGCAAAGATGTAATGGGATCCCAGGGATGAGGGAAACTGAATATTCACATCTGGTTAGAAACTCTCACCAAACAGACTGAAAATACAGTACAAACAGGGCCCTAAGGACACACTATATAAATCTATCAGGTTCCTGTAACACCCCAGTGTGTACCTTCTTTTACCTGCCCTTTGGCGATTTCGCCACTTACTTAAATTCTTACTGAGGTAGGTCAGGACGCAGAGGGGAGCAGGATGTTGTCATCCTCCAGCAGCCTCTAGGTCAGTGGTTTGCAACTATCACTGTACAGCAGAATCACCTAGGAAGCTTTAACAACTACAGTTGCCCAGCCGTATCCACAGACCAATCAAATGATTATGTCTGGTACTTCCAACAACCAGACAAGTACGAGAAACATCAAGTACATGTCCTCAAACTGAGGATTACAATAAAAAATTATCTTTGAGTTATTTGTGTGGAGTAAAATATAATGCTTACTATTTATTAAGTCAATATTATGTGCCATACATTAGACCTCTATTTCATGTAATATCTATTCTGTCACTTTACCTCTCTTATCCCCTCCTCTGTAGATAACCATGTAAGAATTTTGCCATTACTCTCAGTTTATAAAACAGTAAACTGAAGCTTAAAGAAAAAATGCAGTTGCCCACACACAGAAAATTAGGAAGCAGTGAAGTCAGGATTCAACCTAAGGAAGTGAGACTTGGAGCCTGATATTTGGTCCAAATTATAAACTCTGAGAACAATTTGTAGATTCTTTCATTTTTCCTGTTAACCCAATAACCCAAGGCTATTAAATATAAAGCAATTCTTAATATGAACATAACTATTCTGTATTCTATAACTCAGATTGTAAATGTTCAGATGTGATTGGCCATTTCTAGATGTCATCATCACATATTGTACTCTCTTGCATATAGAAGGTATTCAGTAACTTATTTTTAAATGATGAAATAAATGAACTCATTAGGACTTTGTAAAAGAAAACAGAGGTAGCTGATCAAATCAGGCCTATCACCAAAAATCAAACAAACAAAACCCAAAAACAAAAACCACACATCATAATGTATGTTCAACAGCCACTGTCACTCACTCTACCTTATTTGGTTTGCCTACCAAACGTGGATTGCTCTCTTTATTTGGGGCCTCGAATGCTCACTTTACTGCAGCCATGCTGGAGTTCCTCAATCCAGTCAGTCTTTCTTCTGCCTTAGAATGGGAGGGGGATTTCACCTTTGCTCTTCCCTCCACTAGACTCGTCTTCCCCTACTCCCCTATCCTCCTTCCACTAGAACCTTATAACTACCACCCTAAGCTTGGGTAAAACCTTTAGATTCCAATTAAACATAATTTGTTCATGTAGCATATCTTGACCTCTAACTCCTCCCCTCATAATTTCCCCTTATTTAAAAAACCATTGTATCACAATTTGTTCTTATATTTACTTGCAGTTTACTCCCTACTAAAATATATCTTCATTGAACAAAGGAATAGTGTTTTTTTTTTACCACTGTATTTCTAGTGCCTGAAAAATACCTGGCTACACAGTAGTTGCTCAGTAAAAGCATTGAATATTAAATATTTGTAAGTATAAGCTGATTTATTTCCTAAAATTGAATTGGTTTTCTTCATTAACAGTCTTATTAAGTGATGTAACTTACATACAGTTGTTTTTCCTCATTTTAGTGTTCTTAACTGATGTTTAGAAATTAATTACCAACTCAATACATACTGTTCCCATTCAATAGTCTGCTAGTTTTTTTGGAAAGTGATTTACATGTAGGAAGTCATTGAGAATCAATGTAAATTCAAGAAAATTCTCAGAAGCAGAAAGTAACCTGAGGTTAAGAGTTCATTTCAATAGGAGAATTTTGTGATAGGACTTGGTAATCTCATAAGAAAATATTTTACCTCAAGTCAATTTCCAGAAATTTCCTTGAGTAAATTTTGAGTTGGCTGGTTAAATTTTACATATAACTATACTATTCCCTTCAAGTATTTCCTCATAAGAAATATATGGTGATGACTCCAACTCCACATTTGTTTGACCAGTAGACTCCCTTTGTATTAGTCCATTCTCACACTACTATAAAGATACTACTGAGAATGGGCAATCCATACAGAAAGGAGGTTTAATTGACTCACAGTTCCACATGGCTGGGGAGGCCTGAGGAAACTTGCAATCATGGCAGAAGGTGAAGCAAGGAACATCTTACCTGGTGGCAGGCAAGAGAGTGCAAGCAAAGGGCAAGTGCCACACGTTAAAATCATCAGTTCTCATGAGAACTCTATATCATGAGAACAGCATGGGAGAAACCACTTCCATAATCCAATCACCTCCCACCAGGTCCCTCCAGTGAAACGTGAGGATTACAATTCCAGATGAAATTTGGGTGGGGATACAGAGCCAAACCATATCCCATTCAATCCAGAACCATTTGTTGAAGTCTGCATTTTAATAGGAGAAGGCAATAAACAAGTTAAAAAGTACAGTTCAGATGAAAAGCCATTGAAAGGCTGTAATATAATAGAGTGATACTGACTGGTGCTGAGGAGGCATGTGGTTGGCCACTCTGAGCAGGTCATATGTGAAATGAGATCTGAATATGCAGCTAGCCAGAGGAAGATCTAGGAGAGGAGCTTTCCAGGCAGAGAAGCAACACTGACAGCTCGGGGGCAGGAGCCTGCTTGGTATTGATGGGAAGCGTAGGTGGAGAGTAGTGAAGGAGGAAGAAAGTGAACCAGGTGAGATTCCAGAAGTAACATAGAACATGTGGAGGGCCAGGGAGTGAAATGATTTGATTAGCTGAATCTGCTGCACCCACTAAAGTTGTGCTAGAAAACAGCACAACTAAAACCACCACTGTAGAAGAAAGAAACCTTAGCCTAATAAATCAGACAAGGGTCAGATGCGGTGGCTCATGCCTGCAATCCCAGCACTTTGGGAGGTCGAGGTGGGAGGATGGCTTGAGCTCAGGAGTTCAAGACCAGCCTGGGTAACATGATGAAACCTCATCTCAACAAAAAATACAAAACTTAGCCGGGAATGGTAGTGCATGCTTGTAGTCCCAACTACTCAGGTAGATGAGGTGGGAGGATCACCTGAGCCCCTGGGCCTGAGGAGGTCAAGGCTGCAGTGAGCTGTGATCATGCCACTGCATTCCAGCCTGGGTGATAAAAAAACATTGAAAATAATTAGACAAGCAAAAATGAGCCTGGCTGAAATGAAAAGGTGTTATTTGTATAAGTTCTCAAAGTAGTGCTTTAGATTCAAGCAAAGGGAATTGGATGCCACAGTCACTAGTTTTTCTTAAAAGGTGTCTGTGGACTGTCAACAGAAGTTAATTACCAATTCTAATATACTCCAGGGCTAGTTTCACCATTTTGGATTCCGTTTTGTTTTTTTGTTGGTTTGTTGTTTTTGCTTCTGTTTTAGTCTTAGCAAACACTTGAGGAACAGTTCAGTTTTCTTCTTGGTCAAATCTTAAGAGAAACTTGACAAATCAAGTTAGATTCTAAATGCATTATGTTCTTTATGGAGAATCCTCCTAAAACTAAAGTGTTAGGGAGGCACAATTTATACTTTTAAACAGCCTGTTTTTAACTTTTTATATTACTCATCAAAAGATATTAGAGGTCTTCCCCTTACTGATTTTCCTGATACTTTTCCAGTTGCAGACAGATTGGTGGTTTATATATCTAGATTCAACAACATACATAGCATTCAAACGTAGATGAAGAATGGTATACACTTCTTTCAAAGCAAGTAGATGTTATTTAAATAATATATGGAAGAGTTTCTTCCCCCAAATCACCATACTCTGTTTCCCTGCTCTCTTTCAATTTATAAGAAAAAACAAAACTCAAAGTTTTCTAAGCTATCAGAGCTCTTTTTCTTTTACAAGCTTATAGTAGCACCACTCTATTACGCACATATTTTTTTAAATTCAGTTAAGTGCCAGCAAGCTTCCCAATGCTACCCATATCTATGTGCAGTCTTACTACCTGTGTAGCTATAGGCAGTATAGCTGCTTCCCGTATGTTTGTGAAGAGTATTAAATAAGCTGACATATACTAGTCTATGCACGGTGCTCAAAAAGAGAAAATTGTCCTACATGGAAGCCTGTATCTTTCTTGATTCACATTAATATTTGAGGACTTCCGAACCTTTTATGTTCTTGTACAGTGTTTAAGGTTACTACCCGGAGGCAGACCAATCCGAGTTGGAATCTTGAGTGTATCATTATTATTATTGCATTAATATAACAACTTATTATTAAACTACATAAATCAGTACTTAGTAAGTGCTGATCCCCTTTTGCAAGTTCAGAAAATTTCTGCTACAGAATCAGGTTCTTTTATCTTTTCTGTGCAAAGAAAAGGTGCTGGAGTTAACAGGTCCTACAATCCTGGTTCTTAGCCCAGGTGCTGTTTTGGACATCAGATACCTGTCATCAAAGCTCTGAGCTCTCTCAAGTTCTGGTCAAGTTAAATGTTTATCTCTCTAACCTCTTGCATGATTGATTATCACCAGTCTGTTCTTTACCTTCAGTCTGCTGGCCTAGGATCATGACTATCTGGTTCCTACATGGAAGCCTGTATCTTTCTTGATTCACATTACTATTTGAGGATTTCTGAACCTTTTGTGTTCTTGCACTGTGTTTAAGGTTACTACCTGGAGGAAGACCATTCTGAATTGGAATCTTGAGTGTATCATTATTATTATTGCATTAATATAACAACTTATTATTAAACTACATTATTATTACTACAGTTGTGTAACATTTAACTTTGTACATCCTTAGTTGCCTCATCTGAAAATTGTCAATGGCAATCCCAAACTCAGTGGTTACTGTGAAGAATAAATGAAGTACAGCATATTAAATAGCACAGTGGCTAGCACAAGTAAGTACTCAGGCAATCAGGCAATAATGGAAATATAAAACAAACAGAAGGAGAGAGGCAGAGAAGGATAGAAAGAGAGACTGACAGACACAGAAAGACAGAGAGGAACAGAGCAAGACTGGTTTAATCTTATTATAGTCCCAAACACTGCCAAAAATAGTAAGGTTAGGAAGTGCTGACTTGAGCAGAATAAGAAATTTATCAGCCACTTTACATGCATTAGGAAAGAAGTTAAATTACAGCTATAATGGCCAAAACCAAATTTTCTGAGATGAGTTTACATTGTGGGTTATTGTTAAAACACTATGACAAAATATTTACCAAAAAAGAAATAGAAGCCAGGCACGGTGGCTCACA
Source organism: Homo sapiens (assembly GCF_000001405.40). NCBI lineage: Eukaryota > Metazoa > Chordata > Mammalia > Primates > Hominidae > Homo > Homo sapiens. Next base: position 161,563,707 of record NC_000005.10, on the reverse strand, counting down.
CCTGTAATCCCAGCACTTTGGGAAGCCTAGGCAGGTAGATCACCTGAGGTCAGGAGTTCGAGACCAGCCTGGCCAACATGGTGAAACCTATCTCTACTAAAAATACAAAAATGAGCTGGGTATGGTGGCACATGCCTCTAATCCCAGCTACTTGGGAGGCTGAGGCAGGAGAATTGCTTGAACCCAGGAGGCGGAGGTTGCAGTGAGCTGAGATCACACCACTGCACTTCAGCCTGGGCAATAAGAGCAATACTCCATCTCAAAGAAAAAAAAGAAAAAAAGAAAAGGAAACAAAAATTTATATTAGCCACTCCTACTCCTCTATGACTTGAATTCTAGCTGTGATTTAAGAAAGATAAATTGGAAAATACCTCTCCATCCTTTCTTCTTTAAGATATTTCCTTCTTCAATTTAAGTTAGTGTTTAAACTTGTTCCATTCAAATGAGCCTTCACCACAGTGGAAAAGGATACACAAATATATTTTGAGAGGATTAATGTCAATGTGATCTAAAAACCAAAAACATTTACAAAACATTGTGCTGATGCACTGTGAAAGTGTAAATTGTCAAAAGCAAAATTATCTACCCTTGGCATTGTCATTCATCACATTGCCTAAGCAGAATTGCAATCTCAAAGGAAGTGGGAGGGGAGGAGAAGTGAGAAGTGACATAAAATGATTAGTTCTGCTCCACAGACACAGGATGCTGGCATGCTGAGGACCAAGTTAAGCATCTTAGTTGTGAATTTGTTTGTAAATGTGTCTGTGATTTGCACCATGAGGAAAAATGAAGGGAACATGAAACCACATTGTAGGATTGCACGTGATGGTAAAAAAAAATAAATAAACAGGCCATATTTTATTGTTGATATTATTTTCTAACTTTGTTGAGCTTGCAGAATTTTCCCCTTTCCCTCTCCTCCATCCATTCTTCCATATGTATTCCTGTTAATGTTAACCCTCATACTAAAAACAAAGCAAGCACATCTTAATTACTATGAGTCAAAAGGTTTTAACATTCACTTTCATTGTGGGCTTCTTAAATCAGGGCAGTTTAGCACTGTGGTTAAAAGCACCAACTCTGGAGGCAGTTTGGCTGAATACGAACATCAGCTCTGCCATTACTCATCCTGTAAACTTGGGCAACTTAAATTTGCTTTGTCTCAATTTCCTCACCTGTTTTTTAAAATGTTGAGGATAATAATCATTATGAGTCTCATAGAGTTGCAGAGTAGCCTAGGCTACCCAACTCTGCAGCACGAAGCAGGTATAAACAATACCTAAACTAATGAGCAGGGCTGCATTCCAGTAAAACTTCACTCAAAAAAAAGGAGGTATGGCTGGACTTGGCCAGAGGTCCATAATTTGCCAACCCCTGATTTACATCATAGAATTTTTCCAGCTGGAAGGAACTTTGGCAATCACCTAATTTTACACCCTCATTTTACATTTGATACAACTAAAAGTCAGGAAGAGAATGTAACTTGGGAGTCACCCCATGTCTCAAAAAATCATACAAGAAGTGTTAAACAGCAACACAGCAGCTAGTTATTGTTCTTCCACAACTCATGGTGCCATTCTCATCTGCAGAGTTCCAGTAATGATGTCTTATTTTCCAGAAACAGTTCTCCTCCAGAATGCATCCAAAAGTACCCAGTTGTGTTAGGTTCAATTCCCAGAAGCTGACCTTGAGAGAAGGATTTCTGTGCAGATGATGAGAAACAGGAAAAAGTAAGACAGGGAAAGAGGGAAACTAAGACAAGGGAGGTTTCAAGGAAGAGCCATGTAGTGGGTAGGCTGAGTTTGATCCTATAAGGAAGCTCTGGAGCATAAGTTTCTCAAGAATTGTTCTATTCCTCACCTCATAATCACTGGTGATGGGCATCTTGAGAGGCTGCACCAACATAACCATCTTTTGCGTGCCTTTAATAATAGAGAAAAATACATAACATGTTTAAAGGTATAGATCAAAGATGCCCACGGCAAGCTAGATAGCTCTTTGAAGTTTCTTGTTTTATCTATGAATTTTCAAATGAACTGCCTATTTTCTGTAATATATCAATGATTGCTTCAGGGTCTTTCCAAATCTTTAAGTTTGATTTGCTATCTTCAGAAGTTGTTTTCTCTGATATCTGTTTTATTTAATATTTAAATTTTAGCTTTTTTTTAAAAAAAAATTTACTCTCCCAGAACTTTTAGTTAAAATAAAATCTTAATGGTTCTCTTTTCTCCTGTCCCATTTATTCTTCCCTTCCTTATAGAAGAATGGAAGGGGACAGCCAGCTTCTCTATGGGCACTACGTACTCCAGCTCCCAAGAAAATAAATAGAACAATTAGATAAGCATCCACTTTACTATCTTTTACAGTAAATTCTTAAGTACATTTCCAGTATATTTTTAAAAGAATCTGAGATCTGAGGTTTTTTCCTCTAGTCAGCTCAACTTCACACTAAGATTAAAATGATCTATGATGTCATGCCATTCTTTTCAAATACTCTCATGCCCCTTTAAAAATGGAGGTGACATAAAAGACCCTCTCAGATTACTAGTGCCTATTTGTGTAACATGATAAACTGCTAGTTTGGTTGTTTATTTCTTTCTGGATAAAAATTTTACTGTGTTTTTCCTTTATTTTTAACCTTTTCTATTACTCCTATTAAATCATGACTCACCTTTATTGTTTTTCTATGGCTGCTTTCATAATACTACTGTGGATCAGAGTATCCTGCAAAGCCTGATACTTGTTATCATAACAAGTCAGCTGATCCCTGATAAAAATGATGTGGCAACTATAACATTGCTGATGAAGGATGGAAGGAGGACTAGATCCCAGAGTACCCTACATCTATCTACATCATTTAAAATCCTTATCCTGATATCAAGGATCTTCACAACTTGGCCAATTTTGTACTTTAGCTAGATGCTACATCTATGCAAAAATTTATTTCAAACTTCCCATCATCCACTAAAAACTGCAATAATATCTTGGCCATCCTTCGAGGTCCACTTCAAGCAGCATGTTTTCAGTAAAGGCTTTCCCATTTACTCCCAGCCAGTTTCCCTTCTTCCTTTGTTTCTTGTGACATTACTATTCTGCTGCTTAGAGTAATTGTAATCATTTTGCCATTCTTCCTCCCCCTCCCCCTGTAAGCTTCTTGAGGGGAATAATATTGTAAATTCATCTGTTTGTTCCCTGCAGAACATGTCCACATACACAGAGGGTCTGTATATTCACTGAATTCCTGAATTAGATTTTGATCCCTGTGTCAAAAAGGTGACCTTGTTGTCTGATGATGTTCATATTCACCTCACATCTCATGGCTGCTGATCACCCACACTAGGGACTTCTAATAACCACAGACACTTAAGAGTTGGAAGTTCCTCACTTCAGCTTAAAGTATGAGAATTTCTCTTACAGAAATTTGGCAGATAGTTCTTTCCTAATTTGTTTAGTCAACAATTCCCAAATGTTGGCATACCACCTGCATTATTTTTGTCACACCCAAGTACCAACTGCATTACTACTTCATCTATTTTCCGTAAATTTACAACACATGTCCATGTAATATACAAAATCATCTCCTGAACAATCCACACGCCCAATTCTGGATAAAATGCATGGTTGGAACATACCAAATCCCCAAAGTACTCATTGGTTCTTGTTGATGCATCACTGGTTCCAAAAGCCAATCACTTAATTCTGAGCTCACATTAAAAGAAATTACATTTTAAAAAATAAACATCAGTGGAATTGGTTGTTGGACTTTCTTTCCTGCAAAAGACTTTATCTTACAGAGCTATGACTTTGCTCTACACCACCACATACCACACCCTTAGTAGGAACACTTCCACTCACAGCCCTTAATCATCTTATTTGAAGCTAGAACCAAATTAATCTTCTCAGGAACTAGGAACAAAAAATGTCTTCATGCCGTTTCTATTATGAGATAACTATGCTAAAACAAATGAAAGAAAACAATGGTTATTATCACCTACTCATTAGGTTTCCAATTAAAGAAAATCTTCACTCTGACAGACTTTGACTAGTTCTTCTCCATTCTTCTGTTTCTGAAAAGACGCTTTTCTTAATCACAAAACCTTTGACAATTTCAGAATATTGTGAAATGAAGATAACATTAGAATATAACTCATAGTGTTTTCTGAGAATTAAAAAACTGTAGAGAGGTTAGAATATAAGTATCAGGGAAGGTCATTTTCTTTTTTCTTTTTCTTTTTCTTTCTTTCTTTTTTTTTTCTTTTTTTGAGACAGTGTCTCGCTCTGTCACCCAGGCTGGAGTGCAGTGGCATGATCTCAGATCTCGGCTCACTGCAACCTCCATGTCCCGGGTTCAAGCAATTCTCCTGCCTCAGCCTCCTGAGTAGCTGGGACTACAGGCACCCGCCACCATGCCCGGCTAATTTTTGTATTTTCAGTAGAGATGGGATTTCACCATGTTGGTCAGGCTGGTCTCGAACTCCTGACCTCGTGATCTGCCCACCTTGGCCTCCCAAAATGCTGGGATTACAGGCGTGAGCCACTGTGCCTGGCTAGGAAGGTAATTTTCTATCCACAATGACATATATTTTAAATACTATATACAATAATACATTTTTATTATTAAGGTAAATCATATGTCAACAAAAATTTTAGAAACTGTTTATGATTATTAGCATGGGCATATTTAAATGCTTAGGCAATATTTTAGTTCATTTTCACACTGCTATAAAGAACTCCTTGATACTGCGTAATTTATAAAAGAAAGAAGCTTAATTGACTCACAGTTCAGTATGGCTAAGGAGGCCTCAGGAAACTTACAATCATGGGGGAAGGTGAGGGTGAAACAAGGCCCCCACTTCACAAGACAGTAGGAATAAGAAATGAACACAAACACTTATAAAACAATCAGATCTCCTGAGAACTCATGCACTACCACAAGAACAGCATGGGTGAAACTGGCCCCACAATTCAATTACCTCTACCTGGTCTCTCCCTTGACACATGGAGATTATGGGGATTATGCAAATTACAATTCAAGATGAAATTTTGGGTGAAGCCACAGCCAAACCATATCAGGCAGCCAAAAAGGTTTTTGAGGAATTTATTCATTCAAATGTTTATTTATTCAACAAATATTAATCAAGTTTTACTATGTAGAAGTGAAGTTAATGCAATTATTTAATACTAACATTATAATTTTTTACTAGTAGTTCTCAGTTACTCAAATAATGAATTTTTAGGACCTTCTATCCCTAGCCATTCTTGCTTATAATTTTACTAAATTTTTATATCAATTCCTGCATGTATTTACTTATATGCATCCAGTTATACCATGACTATCTTCAAACAATTTCGAGGTGATTGTTTCACACATGACTATGCAAATTTCTAAAATGTAAGTAGCAGTCAACCATAATTGACATAAATATGAGATCCCAGATGTCCTAGATTTATGTATTTGTTCATTCATTCATCTTTACAGGACAGTTACAAGGACATTCATGTAAGATGGATGTGGTGAATTTGGGTCTCTCTTTTAGCCATATTCAAGTCCCTATGCCACAACTGATTTATCGAAAAGATGTGGTTACTAATGACACCTATTCTGCCCATAGTAGACATCTTTGACTTTTGCCTGCTCCGGATCCATTCCTCCTCTTTGTAGAAACAATATGTTAAGGATCCTTCTTTGGGTTCTCATTCCTCAACAACCCATGGTCCACATGGTTTAGATATGGTTTACTCCAGCTTCAGGACCAGAGGTGGGCACAAGACCACTGATCAGAGCAAATGATTGGTTGAATATAGGTCTATGATCCAAGCCTTCACACAGTATTTTATCTTGCAATTTTGGTGTTACCAAATTGTTAATCTCAGGGTTGCTAAAGTGGAGTAACTGCTTCCTTGTTATTTTGACAAGAGACCCCACCTAAGAATATGGCCAATTTTCATAAAATGGAATTGAGAAATAAAATAGCTTAAGCCCCTGAATCCACCTGTCCTCAATGCTGCTCATCCTTGACGGTTTCAGCTACATGACCTAAAATTCACTTGTCTGAGATAGTTTACGCTTGGTTTCTGTCACTTACAACCCCAAAAGCACTACACATAAGCTTGAAAGACTTAAATGAATAATGAATTAATGTTGTTCATCAAAGAGCAAACAAGCTAGTAAGTCAGCACTACATAAGTATTAACAAAAATAATAATTGTAATTATAACTTACAAGTGCTAATACAAGTTAAGTAAGTGTGCTGAGTATAATACATTGGATAATAAAAACAAAAGTAAAATACAGTCTTGTTTCTTGTAGAATTAGCAATGGAATGCCTTGAAAAAGGATTTAAGGGAAAAAAAAGAACAGAATACTGCAATTGGCTTTAGATGCATAGAATTTGAAAGTGATTAAGTCTGCCTGAGGCTGTAGCTACCTGGAGCTTTGAAAAACCATCATATGCCCAAGTTCTTTAAGTCGTGGAGAACCCTTGACACATAATACAAAGCAGATTAAAGTTTATATTTCCTATGTTGAATATAATCATGTATAATTATAGGCATGGTATTACATGTTATAGACATTTAATTAAATATTAATTTCAACATTAAATTATTTTTTAAATTTAGAGTCATTATGTACATTTTTTAGAATTTCAAGAGTTTTGGTAGAGCTGCAAAAGACTTATTAACCTTAGGATCCCTAACTATGGTATATAAGTGGATACACAGTTCTGGTAAAGGAGCACTGGGAAAGGCCTTTGAGATGCATGACCCACATTTGGGAAAACCCCATTTTACACATTGGATTAGCTATTTTTGGCTATCTGTCAATGGCCATCCCTAAGAAACCAACCTGATAGGGATTTTGAGAAATTATTGCTCAGACTTTTTAATGTTCTTGTTTGTACATCAGTTTTGCTCATTGATAAGGCATACCTCTTCTCCCTGCTTGGGACTTTGAATAGCAGTTGGTAAAAAAGGGTTTCCTTCCCATTTTATCCTTTTCTAGCATAAAGGATGTGGTGCTTTATTTCTGCCAAGACAGTATGTGAATATAATTAGCATCCCCACGGTGTCAGAGCTTAGGTAATTTCCTCATATAACAATTTTACCTCCATTGGAAGCATCACTAATTTCATTTTGTACTCCGAGGCATACTTTTCTTTCTATGCTCTTGAAGATCGATTAATCTGATGTAGTCCTCCTTTAAAAGATGCCCAGAAACTCAATTCTCAAAATTTCCTATTAGTCATTTGATTGTTAAAGTGCAGAGATCCTCTGACTGGGCTGAGGTTTTGTTTCTATTATATTAACTCAGTGAATGAGACAAGCTGAGAATGTACAGTAGACAAATCTACAGGAGTTTCACTTACAAAGTCACATAGTTGTCAGGAAGGGCCTGAGCCCTTTAACTTTTTAAAAAATTAACTGTGTGATCTTAGAGCGATTAATTTTTGCTGCTGTTTCCTCACATACAAAATGGGGTTAAAAATGATGAACATTTTTACAGGTATATTGTAAGGATTAAATAAGTTACAATAGAGACAGGATTTGGAACAGTGACACATTGGTCTTATTTTATTATTAATATTATATTTTTGGTTAAATAATCTAAATTGATTTCTATGTCATAAGGGTTAATATGGCTGATAGTTTTACAGAAACTCATGTATAGCATTAGTTATACCTGCTGAAGGAGAAAGTGGACTCAGTAGACATGTGATTTGCATTTCTAATTCTGCACAGTAAAATCTCATTAAGTCATAAACCCATAATATGGAATTTATGGTAATTTAGGAGAAATTTATTTTCTAGTACCTATGAAGGCAAGGCTTGCCAGACAAATAAATAAAGGGCATTTTTGATGAGCATAAGGGAAAAATATTTAATAAAATTTAAACTACTATAGACATACAATTTAGTACATAAAATAAATAAAACTACATTTATATATAAGATACATGAAAAGGTTGTATAAAAGAGTTCTTATATGTATATTACATAGGCTCAGAAAGCCATATATTTGAGAATTTATTAGTAATTGGAAAGTCTGTGCTATTGTATATGCTGACAGTATTAGGCATATATTTTCTTTCTACATGTTATTTCTGACTTTCTTCCTACCCTTCAATATTACTGAAATTTCTGCACACTATTTCAAAAGACCCCAATCAATATTCAGAGCTAAGAGATCTTTCATTCATTTATTTAAAGAATTATGAATTCAAAAGTTTAAATGATTAGGCAAAACAGGTAATACACATTCCATGAGAACCTTCTTCAAAATCATCATTCTGCTGCTTCACCAGCAGGAGTAAGGCAGAGAGGGCTACCTGGCACCTGTGGACATATTTCATACCTGTTTGTTAACAGATGAAATGCTATGATATGAACTATCTCATTACTATTCCTCCCAGAAAATGAACTGTGTTAGTTTTTAGAAAAAGGATCATGGTGGCAGAAGGACAGAGTGACTTACTTTTGAACTGTGTACTATAAACTGCAATACCTGCTCTAAAATGCAAAATCTTTGTAAATGATTTAATACAGTTGACTAGTCCATCCTTTATCAGAATATTCTGTTTCCTTGGCTGTGATCACACTGCACTCATTTTCTTTCTACCTTCTGTGTCAATGTTAATTTGACCCTTCTGGTGGCTGCAACTGTCCTTTACCAGAAGTTTATCTTCTCGGCATTCCAGTCTTCCCACTCTGTTCATTCTTCATACACTTTCATAATATAAGTGGATTACATCTTCAGGATCATCACACATATACTCATTCATTCAAAACATACCTGTTAGATGCCTACTATGGGAACTAGTTACTGGGATACAACAATGACCAAGCCAACAAAAAACACAATTTTTTAAAACTTTCTTTCCATGAAGGAAGATGGATATAAAATGGGTAAAATACGGTTATGATTACACAGTTATGAATTATACAGAGAAAATTTAAATAAAGAAAGGGAAATATACTGTCAAGATGGAGCATGGAGATTTTGCACTGGCCCCAGCCCAGCCCTTGGTGCTGAGCTTTAGGTGCATTTATCAAAATGTCTAGTGTACCTTGGATGGCTATCAGGTACCCCAAACTCAACATGACCCAAACTAAATGTATCACCCTCATCAACTTTCTTCTGCCACCACCACTGAGTTCCTCAAGCCAGAAATGTATGAGTCATGCTTGAATTCTTCTTTCCCCTCATTCTCCACATTACATTTGTCACAAAGTTTAGCCACTTCCTCCGCATGACTATGGTCACTTCTCTTCATCTTCACTGTCACTATTATAGTTCAGACCAACATCACCTCTCACCTGGATTCTTGCAATAGCTTCCTAACAGATCCCCTACAGCCATTATCATCTTCCTCCAGTGTGATTAAAACTCATCCTGTCACCCCTCTGCTTCAACCTATCCTGGTCTGTAATTTTCAACTGTGTCAACAGCCACTCTTGCCCTTGTCCTCTAGTCTGACTGTTCTTCCTTCATTCTTCATTCATACTATCCTCTCTTGACTCAAGATATTTGTACATACTATTTCCTCTGTCTGGAACTTTCTTCCCACAATCTTTCATCAGGCTAGCATAGCTTTGAAATTTCCACTGAAGCATGACTTCATCAGAAAAAAGCTTTTCCCAAATCCTCAAATTGAGTTATCTGCACCAATTATGAATTCCACAATCTCCTATCTTTCCCAGTTTACATGTTATACATATAATAAATTCCATGATGGCTCTTGGCTCCTTCCTACACTACAGTGTAAAATCCAAGAGGATAAGGACCACATGTTTGCTTTTTCCGCAGACCATCCCCCAGTACTTGTAAAACAATTTTGAAATCAAAACCACAATGAGATACCATCTCACACCAGTTAGAATGGCGATCATTAAAAAGTCAGGAAACAACAGGTGCTGGAGAGGATGTGGAGAAATAGGAACACTTTTACACTGTTGGTGGGACTGTAAACTGGTTCAACCACTGTGGAAATCGGTGTGGCAATTCCGCAGGGATCTAGAACTAGAAATACCATTTGACCCAGCCATCCCATTACTGGGTATATACCCAAAGGATTATAAATCATGCTGCTATAAAGACACATGCACACCTATGTTTATTGCAGCACTATTCACAATAGCAAAGACTTGGAACCAACCCAAATGTCCAACAACGATAGACTGGATTAAGAAAATGTGGCACATATACACCATGGAATACTATGCAGCCTTAAAAAATGATGAGTTCATGTCCTTTGTAGGGACATGGGTGAAACTGGAAACCATGATTCTCAGCAAACTATCACAAGGACAAAAAAACCAAACACCGCATGTTCTCACTCATAGGTGGGAATTGAACAATGAGAACACATGGACACAGGAAGGGGAACATCACACACCGGGGACTGTTGTGGGGTGGGGGGAGCGGGGAGGGATAGCATTAGGAGATATGCCTAATCCTAAATGACGAGTTAATGGGTGCAGCACACCAACATGGCACAGGTATACATATGTAACTAACCTGCACATTGTGCACATGTACCCTAAAACTCAAAATATAATAATAATAAAATTAAAAAAAAGATTAGAAGCCTGCTACATATTTACTGAATAATGTTTCCATATTACATTAAAGACTAATGGAAGATGGTTGGTGACTTTTTAAACTTGTATTTATATGTTTCATACTGAGATGATTTTGAAATATGGCCTGTTAAGAGTACTTACATTTTGCCTTCTCATTCTACATTTGGGATCGTGGAGGATACTCTTCAGCAACTAACACATCTCCAGATTCCACGTTATTGTTCTCATTTTGCATCTTCTGAGGCAGTATTGTCAGCAAAGTCGTCCAGATAGATGGCCAGTGTTGCTCCTGTTGTATGACTGAGACTCACTTTAGGCATAAGTTGACCTTAGCTTTGTAACTAGTCAAAATGTTTTTTTGTTTGTTTTTGAGACGGAGTCTCACTCTTTCACCAGGCTGGAGTGCAGTGGCGTGATCTTGGCTCACTACAATCTCCGCCACCCGGGTTCAAGCCATTCTCCTGCCTCAGGCTCTGGAGTAGCTGGGACTATAGGCACGTGCCACCATGCCCGGCTAATTTTTTTTGTAGTTTTAGTACAGACGGGGTTTCACCATGTTAGCCAGGATGGTCTGGTCTCCTGACCTTGTGATCCACCCTTCTCAGCCTCCCAAAGTGCTGGGATTACAGGCATGAGCCACCACGCCCAGCCAGAAATGTATTTTTAATTATATTAGTTACTGTTGTTGGTAAGGGATATCCCTGAGATGTTATTGCATAGAGAATGCATATTCTTTAATCTTTTCTCTGTTTGATTGCTGCTTGGATTTTTAATACCTCTTCTTCTTCACCCTTCCTTAATTCCCATGAAATATCTGCTCCTTTATTCTCAGGCTGACTTATAATAATGGCACCAATCAAGCAAGACAAAGAAATAAAGGGTATTCAAATAGGAAGAGAGGAAGTCAAATGGTCTCTGTTTGCAGATGACATGATTGTCTATTTAGAAAATCCCATTGTCTTGGCCCCAAATCTCCTTAAGCTGATAAGCAACTTCAGCAAAGTCTCAGGAAACAAAATCAATCTGCAAAAATCACAAGCATTCCTATACACCAATAATAGACGGAGAGCAAAATCATGAGTGAACTCCCATTCACAATTGCTGCAAAGAGAATAAAATACCTAGAAATACAACTTACAAGGGATGTGAAGGACCTCTTCAAGGAGAACTACAAACCACTGCGAAAGGAAATAAGAGAGGATACAAACAAATGGAAAAACATTTCATGCCCATGGATAAGATGAATCAATATGGTGAAAATGGCCATACTACCCAGAGTAATTTATAGATTCAGTGTTATGCCCACCAAGCTACCATTGATTTCTTCACACAATTAGAAAAAAAACCACTTTAAATTTCAATGGGAACCAAAAAAGAGCCTGTATAGCCAAGACATTCCTAAACAAAAAGAACAAAGCTGGAGGCATCATGCTACCTGACTTCAAACTATACTACAAGTCTACAGTAACCAAAACAGCATGGTACTGGTGCCAAAATAGGTATACAGACAAATAGAACAGAACAGAAGCCTCAGAAATAATGCCACACATCTACAACCATCTGATCTTTGACAAATCTGACAAAAACAAGCAATAAGGAAAGGATTCCCTATTTAATAAATGGTGTTGTGAAAACTGGCTAGCCATATGCAGAAAACTGAAACTGGACCCCTTCCTTACACCTTATACAAAAATTAACTCGAGATGGATTAAAGACTTACATGTAAGACCTAAGATCATAAAAACCCTAGAGGAAAACCCAGGCATTACCATTCAGGACATAGTCATGGGCAAAGCCTTCATGACTAAAATACTAAAAGCAATGGCAACAAATGTGAAAAATGACAAATGGTATCTAATTAAACTAAAGAGCTTCTGAACAGCAAAAGAAACTATCATCAGAGTGAACAGGCAACCTACAGAATGGGAGAAAATTTTTGCAATCTGTCCATCTGACAAAGGGCTAATATCCAGAATCAACAAGGAATTTAAACAGATTTACAAGGGAAAATCAAACAACCCCATCAAAAAGTAGGCAAAGAATATAAACAGACACTTATCAAAAGAAGACATTTATGTAGCCAACAAACATACAAAAAAAAGCTCATCATCACTGGTCATTAGAGAAATGCAAATCAAAACCACAATGAGACACCATCTCACGCCAGTTAGAATGGCGATCATTAAAAAGTCAGAAAACAACAGATGCTGGAGAGGATGTGGAGGAATAGGAATGCTTTTATACTGTTGGTGGAAGTGTAAATTAGTTCAACCATTGTGGAAGACAGGGTGGTGATTCCTCAAGGATCTAGAACCAGAAATACCATTTGACCCAGCCATCCCATTACTGGGTATATACCCAAAGGATTATAAACCATTCTACTATAAAGACACATGCACATGTATGTTTATTGCAGCACTATTCACAATAGCAAAGACTTGGAACCCACCCAAATGCCCATCAACGATAGACTGGATAAAGAAAATGTGGCACATATACACCATGGAATACTATGCAGCCATAAAAACGGATGAGTTCATGTTCTTTGCAGGGACATGGATGAAGCTGGAAACCATCATTTTCAGCAAACTAACACAGGAACAGAAAACCAAACACCACATGTTCTCACTCATAAGTGGAAGTTCAACAATGAAAACACATGGACACAGGGAGGGGAACATCACACACCAGAGCCTGTTGGGGGGTGAGGGGCTACGGGAGGGATAGCATTAGGAGAAATACGTAATGTAGATGACCGGTTGATGGGTGCAGCAAACCACCGCGGCACGTGTATACCTATGTAACAAACCTGCAAGTTCTGCACAGGTATCCCATAACTTAAAGTATATTTAAATAATAATAATAATGGCACCAAATCTATATCTACTCAGTTTGTATAGCTGAGTGACACTAAACCTTGTTTGTTTTCCTGTACATTCATTATGGCTTATTCATTAAAAGATTACTAATATTTATTAATCACAGCCAAATACTACACCTATATGTACCTCATTCTAGAGCAATCCAGTGGAGAGGGTATTCTTTTCCTTCTCAGTTTTCCAGAAGAGGAAACTAAGGCTTAGAGGTTAAATGACTTGCCTGAGTTACAAAGTTACTAAGTATTTGACCTGGGTTTTGAACCCAAAGATTTACCTCCGGTTCTTTTATGCTCTCAGTTTACACTACACAATTTTACTTGCTGACATGCAAGCTATTTTAACTCTTTGCCCCTCTCTTTCTTAACTTTCTGTATATAGTAGACCTTTAATATATACTTGTTTCATCATTCCCTGGGCCATTATTATTATTATTATTATCATTATAGATGGGTGACAGTATTTGTGGTTTGTTCTGTCTACTGAATTTTGTTCTCTCAACTTACACTGAAGCGAGCCTAGGTAGAAGGGGCTGATGGTGCAGAAAGAAAAACGTGGGTAACTGAGGGTCAGAAGGAAAACCCTATTTTGAGATGTGTTAGAGGTTCGAGGGGAAGGGGAGCATTTTAGGACTTCATCATTTTGTTACTTGAGACTAAACTGCTTTAGGAATCTTCTGGACATCATGCTGATAATGCCCTAACCACCCCCCCAACCCCGATCCTCCCCCTACCCATCATTCTACTCAGCTGGTGCAAAAGATTCTCACTGTGTATAGGAGTAAAGAGAAAGGAAAATCAGCAGTTTTCCTTGGCTATAGTTCTACATTCTGAGGTAACGCTAAACCCAAGTAACTGCAGATGGGAGACTTACAGACCTTCCTCCCCCACCCTCGTGTGTATGTGTGTGTGCGTGTGTGTGAGTAAGCGCGCGTCTTTGGATGGGCTCCTATGAGCCTGGGAGTCTATAGAGCGCCGCGCGGTAGATCAGCAGTATGTTCATGGTGCTGGGCTTTACCTGTTCCTAACCTAGAAACTCCCTTGGTCGGTGAAGGAACTCGGCTTTCTTTTCCTGTTTATCATCCATCCCAGAGGAGCTGTCGGATTCCCCCCTTTTAAAGCCCTCCCGCCTCCACACTTCCCCCGGAGTCATCCCCACAAACTACCCCCAGATGACCCTCTGACCAAGGTGGGGGAGGGGAAAGGTTATCAGAAGGTAAGTGGGTCAAGAGTGCAGCACGGAACAGGACCCTGAGGAGCCCCCAGGGCTGCCGGGGTCGCAAGCCTGTGGAGCTACTTCCGCCGCCTGCCGCCAACTCTGCGGGCCGGCGACCCCTCCTCTCCGCAGACACCGGCCGGGTCTAGCTCGTGCGGTCCGCGCTCAACTCCACCCGCAGCCGCCGCGGGCTCCTCGGGCGCCAGGAGCTTGACCCGCCACAGCAAAGCGCTGGCAGCGGGCAAGGTCGCTGACTCAGGAGACTTCGGAGTGTAGGCTGTCTAGTTCAGTGGTTAGGAACGCTGGCTCTGAAGTCCAATCCTGGTTTCACCTCATGCCATCTGAGTGACCTTGGGCGAGCTTCTTGACTTCAGTGAGACAATTTCTGAATCTATAAAATGGGGACACTGAAGTGATAGCTAAACGCTAGAACTGTTGTCAGAATTAATGAATGCAGCGCTCTGGCACGAAGTAGGAACTCACTTAATAGTGACCATGATTGGCAGCAGCAGTGAGAGGCTAAGCATTGGGGTCCAGAATAGAGATTTGAGCTCTGGCCTTTCCAGTTCTTCACCCAGGGTGGGGTTGGGGGAGGGGTAGCGGGAACGTCTACTCTTCCCGCCTCTTCCCCAGTTCCAAGATAAACTCAGGAGTACCCGGAGAGCCGCTGGTGTGGACTCCGGTTCCTTCGGACGGCCTTGTGTCCCCAGACTCGTAGCACCTCACGCCGCCCGTGGCTCCTCTCTTTCCCTGGAGCGGAGGGAAGACTTCTTTTGTGAATTGAGTATCTCCCTCCCCCAATTTCCCCACCCCAAGCTTGCTGCCTCCTCCGGGTCCCGGCGGCCACGGCGAGGCGGCCTGAGCTTCAGGAGGAAGGGAAGAGGCAGCCTCTGGGTGTGCGAGTCCCCTGGGCGCGGGGAAGGGAAGAAGAGGACGAGGTGGCGCGGAGACCGCGGGAGAACACAGTGCCTCCGGAGGTGAGGGGCTCTTCCTCATTTTGCCTGCCTTCTAGGGACCGCTCCGGCTTCTTGTATCCAGAGGTACAGCCCCTGAACAGCCGGGAGTCCCCGTCCCCTGTCCCGGACGAGGGGCCGGGGGCGCCAGCTCCGCACGCCGCGGGAGTGGGCGGCGAGCGCGGGCCTGCGAGGTAAGGAGGGATGGCGGCGGGTGGGGAGTGCGCCTGCACGTGTGTGCGCGCGGGTGCGCGCAGCGGAGGGGGCGCTGGGGGACCGGCCGGGGCGCGTCCCACCCGGCCACCTGCCCTTCCTGCTCTGTGCGGTCGCCCACGCCCTCCAGTCCCCCGCACCTGCGCTAGGGCGCCCGTCACCCGCATCCCTCACGCCTCCACGTCCCATCTCCCCCTCATGCAAACCCCACCCTGCCCACTAATAATTCCCACTGCAGAATCAGACCGAAACCTGGAGAGACAGCATTGCCTTTCTGCTCCCCTCGCCCCCCTCCCCTCCTGCTATAAATAACCCGGACTAGCGGGTCAGGAACGTCACACGGCGAGAAAACAGGACCCCGAGGTTTTCTTCTCTGGGAATAGGGGGCAAAGGGTGAGGAGAGGAGAAAGAAATCGCTCGTGAGTAGTGAAGAAAAGCTTGCTCTTTGACTACTAGAAGAGACCAGCCATTATTTTATTCTTTTCTTTCTCTTTCTTCCTTTTTTATTTTTCCGTGCCTTTCTTATTCTGTACCCGCCTCCCCAACCCCCCGCCCCAAATCCAACGGGTTGCTCAGCATTCCTCCCATTGGTTTTTTCCCTCCCTCCCGCTTCGACTCCCAACGCCCCCTCCCCCCTCCTCCCACCCGCTGCACAACCCCCGCCCCCCCCATCCCAGTCTCGCCCCAGGCAGGGCATGCTATTTGCCAAGGAAATAAAGTTCAAACTCCTTGCCCCGTGTCCGGCTGAGACCAGAAGTGGGCTTACCGGCACCTATCTTCCGCTGGCACGCCACACCTGCTCTCCTCTAATTTTCTAATCTGGTTTTGCATATTTAAAAGGACACACACACACACCAAAAACCCACAACCCGCTCGGTGCAAAACTGCCTCTTGCAACTACCGAAACTTACCAGACGCTGTAGTTATTTTGTCTTAACGAAAGGATAACAACAAAAATTTTATTCTGGATGCTGCTGTGGGGTGACTTTTCTATATTATTCAAATATGTATGTATTATACATATACATGTTTTTCCTTTTTCCCTTTTAATTTTTTTTTTTTTTTTTAAACAAGGAAATCTGCTCGGTCCCCGGCAGCCGCCGCTTCCCCTTTGATGTTTTGGTACGCCGTGCGCATGCGCCTCACATTAGAATTACTGCACTGGGCAGACTAAGTTGGATCTCCTCTCTTCAGTGAAACCCTCAATTCCATCAAAAACTAAAGGGATGTGGAGAGTGCGGAAAAGGGGCTACTTTGGGATTTGGTCCTTCCCCTTAATAATCGCCGCTGTCTGTGCGCAGAGGTAAGTGTGCCCAGCGTTTCTCTTTTCCGTTCTCACTTTGAAGGGTTCTGTCTGCATACCTCTGTGAGCAGGGAAATGTAGTAGGGATCCGATGCTGAAAACGCTATGCCTGCTTCCTTATTGATGCCTGCTTATTGTCATTTCTTTCTTTAGTGTCAATGACCCTAGTAATATGTCGCTGGTTAAAGAGACGGTGGATAGACTCCTGAAAGGCTATGACATTCGTCTGAGACCAGATTTTGGAGGTAATGGGGTTGCCTTGCAAATAAGTCCAGCCACAGCCGAAGCTGTCTTTTGAGCTTTGTGCGCGCTCTCTTCCCTCTCCCTAGTTGTGGGTGCATGTGGTGTCCTGAATGTGTCTCTATTTTACCATATTGAGAAACTGATCAAAACTTAAGCTGGATTATTGCTACCCACCACTTCCGTGGTCTTTCAATGAGACCCTCTTAGTGTGTACTCAAATTTGGTGACTGCTGTCTTTCAGCTTCACTGTTATGAATCCTTTGCTTCCCTGCCTTTGCTTTGTTGAGACACAAACCTCTTAAGTTTAGTTAATGGTGTGCCGAGAGAACCCGGCTTGCGGAAGGCCACCGTTAACATTTTTTAGGACAAGACGTGCAGGCAGTTGGTTGAGAGGTGGCGTTAACCCCCTGTGCCTGCCTACTTTGGAAGAGTTCTTCTGGCCAGGGTTACAGTGGCTCATGTCTGGATATAATCCACTCCTCCCAGCCTCACAGAAATGGGGAGGACTGGGGGATGGGAGGGTAGGGAGAAAATGGGAGGGTTAGAGAAGGTAGGGGAAAGAAGAATCTCTCTCTGGCTGCAGCCCTAGATATGCTGATAGACTCACTTAATATTGCTTCAGACTCTTATGAAGCTCAAAGAGTTAAAACCTGTGCACAGAAGGGGGTGGGAAAGACTGAGGAGGAGGGGGTTTCAGCGCAAAATATAAAAATCCCTTAGACTAGAAGGATTCTTGTGCTTCTGTGAGTTGTGTGCATTCACATGCTGAGACATATGCATATGTAGACAGAGCTGGAATCCCTTGTTCACAGCATACGTGTGTGCATATTCAATACAGCATTTGTTAGAGGAGTGTGTGCCTGCTACCTTTTTTTTTTTTTTTTTTAACAAAAAAAGCAGAGAATTGAAAAATTTGAGATTGAGTAGTGCAGAAGGGTTTTGGGCAGAGTGTCTTATGCTCAGGGATAACTCTTGCTGAGAATGAATGAAGTTCAAAGAAATCACGTGGCTGGCCGTCTTGCTTTGCAGGTCCCCCCGTGGCTGTGGGGATGAACATTGACATTGCCAGCATCGATATGGTTTCTGAAGTCAATATGGTGAGTATTGACATTTATGACTACTTCTTTGCAAACTTTCGTTTGGGGACAGGAAGGAGAAATGAGCCAGCTATTGGGGGTGGGGGTGTGCTTGGCTATGTGTATGAGGTGGGGGTGAGAGCATGGAATTTCACCCTAGAATACCCTGTGTTGAGGTTAGAGAGTTGACTCTTTCTGGTCCCTAAGGATTTTTTCAACCTGGTTCAGATACTTGGAGTAAAATGCATCACACATTCATGTGTAAAACGCAACCACGTGCAGGAGACCCCCTACAGAAGCCTCATCTCCTCAGGCTCAATGAGAAACCCAGTTCATTAAGTGATTTTCTGGATTTGATGTGGGGTCATGGGAAGAAGGGAGAGTTTTGATTTGACATTTAATGGAGAATATAGCCTACAAACAAAACTAATAAAGGCCCTGGAATACTGATGCCCACTCGTTGCTTTCAAAGATCACTGTTTACTGTTAATGGCAAGCCCCCATCCCCCATTCCTGCCCCAACTCCATTGTTTGCTGCTTGCTTTAATCCCTCCTGCCCACCAAAATAAAAATTGGCCATCCTGTTTCTAAAAGGTAGGCTCAGACCCATGTGTCATCCCCGTTCACTTTAGCAATTCATTCACCACATGTCCTAAGCTTGTACAGTTAATTGACAGCAGTACTCCTTAGTGGCTGCCTCCGTGGACTTGGGGCAAGTGTTAAGAGGAAAAAGCCTGTGTTCCCAACTAGGAAACACGTGTTGGGGGGTTTGCTTCAATCGGGAGCTCCCCCTGCTGCCCATATTGGAACACTGCAGACATGCAATGCGATGACAAGCGTCCCAGACGCCCCCACATACTTGGGGGCATTCCTCCAGTGACTTTTCTACTCTGTGTTTTTAAAATCTCATGCTTTGGAGAAGTCCCTCTAGATAGGCCACATTTTAATGTAGAATTCCAGTGTTACTTTCAGTCCTGATAGTACACAGCACGTTTCAGAAGGTTGTGTTTTGGCATAGTTCTGTCTAGAAATTGGATTAATTATTAAATAAAGGGGTATAGTATATAAACTTTTATGCAAAACATTTCTAAGCCACCCCTCAGGACTTGAAAATTAGTTCTCAACATTATATAAATTTCCATATTCCCAGAATTCAAACAAGAAGAAGCTCAGTAACCAACATAGTCCTCATACACTGTCTAAAGATAAGAGATAATCCCGAGATTTCATAAGATTCTGAAGCAAATGAATACTGTGCTTATACCTTATGAGTATGCAAGGGAATTCTGCTATTTCTGAAATGTTTTAATGACATTAATCTTCTCATATTCTAATTTAGAGAAAGTTTTTATCACATGCAATATAAACGCAGACTAAAGATAATATTGGATGTTTCAGAACCAAAAATTTCCCTCACATTATGAAAATCTGTGTGGTTAGAGAATGTTTCTTGGGATAGTATTTAATTTCTCAGATATACAAATATTCACTTTTGGTGAATTTGAAAGGTCTTTTATCAGTTTATATTTTGAGCTTCAGCATAAAAATAAAAGATGTCTTAATGTGGGTACCTTCTTATGTCTCAGGAATGTGAATCTAAATTATGCTGTTTAAAACAAAGTAATATAGAAATCAGGTGTGATTCTGTGCATCCTACACGTGATTGATTCAGACTCCTCTCTTTTGCATTTTGCTTTTTTTATGCTCTTCTCTCAGTCCCAAGTCTTATTTTACCACCACCTCCCTCTTTAGAGCATCACAAAATGAGATTTTGTGAAACATATCAAGAAAAATTTAGAACCCAAAGAGATAATCATGAGATGACTAGAGGTTGCTGCAGTAGGTTAGCTAATAACTTAAAGGTATTATATCCTAACATTGTTTAGAGTGGTAGAATTTTTATTTTTCTTTCCTTTAAGTTCTATTCATTTTTTGCCTACATGCAACATTTTGGAGAGATATCTGAGGTGGAAACAATGCCAAGACCTGCTAGTCAAAATATAGATCCAGTTAAGGCAAGGTGTCATCACTTAAAGCTATTTACTGTTGCTGAAAAATCATGAGATGTTGAAGTGCAAAAATGAATATCAGGTTGTAAATGGGACAACATTGCAACATTAATGATTAGAACCAAGTGTTGAAAATTCCAAGCCAGATTCCTTACTTAGCCTTATGCTACACCCATGGATTTGTCCAGCTAGATTGTCACTTGTTGAAAAATTAACATTTTTTTCAGCTTCCAACCTTAATAACCTAAAATTATCTTCAAAGAAATTTTTTTGTGATGTTTGTTTTATTTTTTAAAGATGATTATTTGTTTTGAAGCAACAGATGGGAAATTCCATCTCTGGTGTCTAAATAACAGATGTTTATGGTGTGTTGTACCCTGTATGTAGGTCTGAGTGTTAGGGCCTTTTGATTAGCTTCAGGTGTGAAAGAATGGTTGATTGGTTACTTAAATGAAACTTCAAAATTGATTTAACAGACACATTTATCCCTCATTATCCTTTGTGGACTGCAGTCTCTGGTAATTGTAACTTTCTCTTATGATATAGCATGTCTTTCTTTGAAGAATGGTAGGGAACCAGACCATTTAAATTGTCATTGACTCATTTGTACTGGACAAATAAATGTCCATGTCAGTGTGATGCTCCTTGTAAATCACAATGATAGAAAGACCCTGAAGTGAATCAGGAGTCTCAGATGCGAGTTCTACTTCTGATGCTTAGTCATCCTGAGGATATTCACAGATAGACTGGGCTCACTTTACTCATTCATTAAAGGGGAGTAATAGTCCCATTTTACCTATCTTGGGTGAATACCAGAATATAGATATACCTTGTTTTATTCTAGCTTGCTTTATTGTGCCTTGCAAACATTGCATTTTTATAAATTGAAGGTTTGTGGCAACCTTGAAATGAGCAAGTCTATAATGAGCCTGTTTCTCTAGTAGCATGTGTTCACTTTGTGTCTCTGTGTCACATTTTGGTAATTATCACAATATTTCAAATTGTTTCATTATTATTATATTTTCTGTGGTGATCAGTGATCAGTGATCTCTGATGTTACTATTGCAATTGTTTGGGGGCACCATGAACTGCACTGAGGTAAGACAGCAAACTTAATGGATAAATGTTGTGTGTGTTCTGACAGTTCCACCAATGGGTCATCCCCCTGTCCGTCTCCCTCTCTGTGAGGTTCCCTATTCCCTGAGACACAACAATATGGAAATTGGGCCAATTCACAGCCCTACAATGAGAGTTGCACATCTCTCACTTTAAATCAAAAGCTAGAAATGATTAAGATCAGTGAGGAAAGTGTGTCAAAAGCTGGGACAGGCAGATAGCTAGGTCTCTTGCTCAAAGCAGCCAAGTTTTGAATGCAAAGGAGGAGTCAATGAAGGAAATTGAAAGTGGTAGTCCAGTGAACACATGAAAGATAAGAAAATGGAAAAGGCTTACTGATGATATGGAGAAAGTTTTAGTGCTCTTGATAGAAGATCAAACTAGTCACAACATTCCCTTAGAGACAAAGCCAGATTACCAGAACAAGACCCTAACTGTATTTGATTCTATGAAGGCTTAGGAGATGCAGAAGAAATGCTGGAAGCTAGCAGAGGCTGCTTTAGGATGTTTATGGAAACAAGCTGTCTTCATAACATAAAAGTGCAAGGTGTATTAGCAAATGCTGATGGAGAAGCTACAGCAATTTATGCAGAAGATGCAAGGTAATCAGTGAAGATGGCTGGCTATTCTGCACAAAAGACTTTATTAGATAAGAGAGTCTTCTATCAGAAGAAGATGACATCTAAGACTGTCATAGCTAAAGAGGAGAAGTCAATGCCTGGCTTCAAAGCTTCAAGGCACAGGTTGACTTTTGTTAGGTGTTAATGCAGCTGGTTACCTTAAGTGAATGCTGTCTCAAATCCTAGGTCCCTTAAGAATGATGCTAAATCTACTCGGCCTGTGCTCTAGAAATGGAAAACCACAGCCCAGATGACAGCATATCTGTTTACAGCATGATTTATTGAACATTTTAAGCCCACTGTTGAGACTTAGTGCTCAGAAAAAAAAAAAAAAAGATTCTTACTGACTTACTGCTCAACCAGGTGCAATGGCTGACGCCTGTAATTCCAACAGTTTGGGAGGCTGAGGCCGGCAAATACCTTGAGCCCAGACATTCAAGACCAGCCTAGGCAACATGGTGAAACCCTGTCTCTACAAAAAATACAAAAATTAGCTAGGCATGGTGGCATGTGCCTGTAGTCCCAGCTACTCAGGAGGCTGAGGTGGAGGATCACTCGAACCTGGGTGGCAAAGGTTGCAGTGAACTGAGATCACACCACTGCACTGCAAACTGGGTGACAGAGTGAGAACTTGTCTCAAAATAATAATAATAATAATAATAATGAGATTACAATTAGAAAACAAACAAAACAACAAGAAAATAATGGCTGCTCATTGACAATGCACCTAGTCACACATGAGCTCTGATGGAGAGGTACAAAGAGATTAATGCTGTTTTCATGCTTGCTAACACAACATCCATTCTGTAGCCCATAAATCAAGGAGCAATTTTGACTTTCAAGTCTTATTTAAGAAGTACAATTAGTAAGGCTATAGTTACCATAGGCAGTGATTCCTCTGATGAATCTGGGCAAAGTATTGAAAACCTTCTGGAAAGGATTCACATTCTAGATACCATTAAGAACATTCATGATTCATGAGAGGAGGTTCAAATAGCAACATTAACAGGAGTTTGGAAGAAATTGAGTCCAATTCTCATGAATGACTTTGAGGTGTTCAAGGCCTGAGTGGAGGAAGTCACTGCAGATGTGGTGGAAATAGCAAGAGAACTAGAATTAGAAGTGGAGCCTGAAGATGTGATTGAATTGCTGCAATCTCATGATCAAACTTCAATGCACAAGTTGCTTCTTAAGGATGAGCAAAGAATGTGGTTTCTTGAGATGGAATCTACTTTTGGTGAAGACGCTGTGAACATTGTTGAAGTGACAACAAAGGACTTAGAATATTACATAAACTCAGTTGATAAAGCGGCAGCCAGATTTGAGAGGTTTGACTTCAATTTTGAAAGAATTTCTGCTGTGGGTAAAATGCTATCACACAGGATAGCATGCCACAGAGAAATCTTTTGTGAAAGGAAGAGTCCACTGATACAGCAAACTTCATTGTTGTCTCATTTTAAGAAACTGTCTCAGCCACGCCAGCGTTTAGCAACCACAACCCTGCTCAGTCAGCAGCCATTAACATGGAGCCAAGACATTCTATCAGCAGAAAGATTACTACTCCGTGAAGGCTCAGATGATTGTTAGTATTTTCTAGCAATAAAGTATTTTAAAATTACGGTATGTACATTTTTAACATGATGCTATTTCACACTTATTAGATACAGTATAGTGTAAACATAACTTCTGTATGCACTAAGAAACCAAAAAAATTGTGAGACTCGCTTTATTGGGATATTCACTTTATTGTGGTGGTCTGGAACTGAGCCAGCAGTATCTTTCTGTGGTATGCCTTCATGTAAGTTTATTGGTCGTCTATGAACATACTTAATGAAGACAACTCAAGAGACCCAATGTCCACTCCAGCTGCTGTCTTAAGTGTGCTTGGGTTGGCAATATAATTTACTAAGTCTCAGTTTTACCATGTTTTAATTGAGAAAGGATATATTAACTTGGCTTGCAACTCAAAGTTCCATGTTTCTCTGACTTGGCTAGTTATAGTAGCTCTATTGGATATAAAGAAGTTCCAGGAAAATTTGAAAATCTAGAAAATCATGAGGAAAATGCAGAACTCCTAAATGGCATGCAGTTGTGAGTCCTTACTGAGGAAGCTACTGGTGGTGTCAGAACCATGTGACTTAGGTGACTGTCAGCTCAATAGATCTTTGGAAGAATGTGGTCTCAATTAGAATGCTCCTGAGCAGAAAGCTTGGCCTTGGAATGAAATATTTTTAGATGTCGTGGTTAAATTGGCAGGAATCTTTTTGTTAAGATTCTTTGATGAAAAGTGCATTTTAAGATTCAAATTTTGGCTCTGAGGATTATGGACTGAAATAGCTTCCTCTTCATTTAAAGCAGATTCTTCTCCATCTTAAAACAACACATTTGCCAACCAAAGAGTGAAGCAATATTTCACTTTTGAGGAAAGAGTTCTAGTAAACACATACACAAATTACCTTTTTATGGAATGGCAAATGGAGAAAAGTGCTGCTGTTTTTTAAACAGATGTTTTCTTGCATCACCAGCTGCACAGTTTAAAATTTCATTCAACAAACTTATTTAGCAGCTACTATGATCCAAGCATGTGTTAGGCCTTATGGACAGAGTAGTGAATGAGACCAACCCATCCCCTGACCTCATGAAATATATTATCTAGGTGTTTACTTTTTTTTTTTTCTTTTGAGACAGTTGTCTCGCTTTGTTGCCTGGGCAGTGCAGTGGCACAATCTTGGCTCACTGCAACCTTCACCTCTTGGACCCAAGCAATTCTCTCATCTCAGTCTCCCGAGTAGCTGGGACTACAGGCACGTGCCACCATGACCAACTAATTTTTGTATTTTTAATAGAGATGGGGTTTCACCACGTTGCCCAGGCTAGTTTCAAACTCCTGAGCTCAAGCGATTTCCCCACCCTTGGCCTCCCAGAGTGCTGGGATTATAGGCGTGAGCCACCACCGCCCAGGTAGGCGTTTACTATTCTTATAGTTACATCAGATTCTTACTGTATTTATGCCTAGCTTACGTCTTTCCTTTTCTGTAAGACTTTCTTAGCAGCCAAGTAAGTGCCTCATGGTCTTTGTCTCCTATAAGTTCCTTCGTCACTTGTTGATTTTGTCACTTGTCTGGGTATTTGGTATTTCAAATGGTTTATATTTTACGTATTTATTCTGTCTTCCTCCATCATGTTTATAAATTACATCACGACAAGGTTATGGTGTCTCTCCCAGTGTGGTTTTGCTTTATATACAAATGGTTGTTTGGATATTTGACCCCGGGCGAATGCCACAAGTATTGAGTGAAAAATTCACTTCTATAGTAGTAATTTATTATTTGCTACACACTGTACTATTTATGTGGGGAAATAGAACACAGAATCATAGCGCACAAAGTCAGGCATTCACCATTTGGAACAACAAGTGTAGAAAGAATCACAATGTGGGGTCATGAGTGCTTTGAAAGAGGATATACACAGGGCATAGTGGGAATATACTAATATATTACATGGAAACGAGTCAGGTGAAGAAGGGGGTTAGAAGTGTGTGGATAGATGTTCCAAGCAGAAAGAATAACATAGAGGAGGGTGTGACACAGGATAAATAAATGGTATTAGGGATTTGGAAGTCATTTTAAAAGACTGGAGTGGGAGTGAGGAAAGGGTAGATTTGGTGTTGAAGCCGTAGGTGGGGATCAAAAGATGAAGACCATTTTTGTGTCTTGCTCAATAATTGAATATTTGTCCAAAGCCTGTAGGGGCCCATGAAATAGTGTCAATAGAATTGCATGAACAGATTCACACCTATCGAAGATGGTTCTGAAGTGTAGAGGGTGGATTGAAGTGGAGCAAAATTTAACGTTGGAAGATGAGTTGAAAACCTACTGCAAAATTTCAGGAAGATGTGATGAACTAAGACAGGAATGCAAAAAAAGAAGATATAAAATTATTGTGTTTATAAGATGAAAGTGACAGGACTTGGTGAATCCCATGATTCTCATAGTATCCTTTACTGATGTAGGGAAGACAGGAAGGGGAGTGGAGGTCAAGGGGATGAGGCATGTGGGCAGATAGTGAGTTCACTTTGGGAAATGGTGATTTTTTTTTTCTATGCACATGGAATCTCCAAATGGATACAACCAGCAGGCGATTGGAAAATATAGGTGTACAAATTAGGAAGCAGTTATATAGAGAGACGAACTGAGCATTGTCAGCATATAAGTGGTGCTTCTAACTTTGTGAATACATAAAATTTAAAAGGCAAAATGCAAAGACAGCTAAAAATGGAAATCTGGTGAGCCCCGTATTTTAGATAGTGGAAGACAGAAAAGGAGCTCACAGAAGAGATAAATAAGTAGCAGTCAGAGAGTTAGTACAAGATACTCCAGATAATCATGTCTTAAAACCTGAGTTTGAGAAGCAAATAGTCAGCTGCGTCAGATGCCACAGTGATCAATTGAAATAAATCATGAAAATTTTCTCCCAGATAGAGTAACAGGAGCGCACTGGTGAAATGTAGCAAGAGGAGTTTCGGTGGTCGAAGACTACACTTTTGAGAAGTTTGGTTCTGAAGGGATGTAGGGAGAGGGAAACAGCTTTTAAAAAGTCATATATACCCAGGCATGGTGGCTCACGCCTGTAATCCCAGCACTTTGGGAGGCCGAGGTG
This sequence comes from Homo sapiens, assembly GCF_000001405.40. Classification (NCBI taxonomy): domain Eukaryota; kingdom Metazoa; phylum Chordata; class Mammalia; order Primates; family Hominidae; genus Homo; species Homo sapiens. The sequence continues at coordinate 161,536,843 of NC_000005.10, read as the reverse complement.
GGTGAATCACCTGAGGTCAGGAGTTCAAGACCAGCCTGGCAAACATTACAAAACCCCGTCTCTAATAAAAATACAAAAATTAGCTGGGCGTGGTGGTGCATGCCTGTAATCCCAGCTACTCAGGAGGCTGAGGCAGGGAGAATTGCTTGAACCTGGGAGGCGGAGGTTGTAGTGAGCCGAGATCGTGCCACTGCACTCCAGCCTGGGCGACAGAGTGAGAGTCATATATAGTTTGGTGGAGAAACAATCTTTAGAAAGGAGTAGGTTGAAGATACAAAGTGGGTAGCAGGACTGGAAACTAAAGGCTTGCCTGAAGACTTACATATTCTCTGTGAACATACTAAACACTTTATATTGAAATCAGAGGAGGTTAAAATTGGCTGCTGTGAAAATAGGTGAATGAGTTCACTCAGGAAGCATAAAGTGGAGTAAAGGAGGTGTGAACACTCTGTGACCACAGACAGCCTTAATTCCAAACAAATTATGCCCACACAATTTTGGGCACAATTTTGGCGAACTGTTGTTTTCTCCTTCCTCTTTTCCTCCTTCGGTTTCTCCTCTCATCCCCCTTCCGTTTCTCCTCTCATCCCCTCCTGAACTTTCGTACAGCGCTCAACATTCTCCACCATCATCATAACATGAATATAAGGAAATAATTATAGCTACTTGTCTTAGTCCATTTAGTGTTGCTACAACAGAGTACCTGAGACTGTATAGTCAATAAAGAAAAGAAGTTTATTTGGTTCACTATTCCGGTGGCTAGAAATTTCAAGATTGAACATCTGCATCTGGTGAGGTCCTCATCAGGCTGCTTCAACTAAAGGCAGAAGCAGACATGGAACCGGCTTCCTGTGCAGAGACATCACCTGGTACAAGAGGAAGCCAGTAGGGGGAGGTACCAGGCTCTTTTTAATAATTAGCTCTCAGTGGAACTGATAGAATGAGAACTTACTCCTCAGATAAGGCATCAATCTACCCATAAGAGCTCTGCCCCCATGACTCTTAGCACCTCCCATTAGGCCCAAACTCCCAACAGAGCCACACTGGGGATCAAATGTCAACATGGGGTTTGGGGAGGACAAACATCCAAACCAGGGCACTACCTTGTATTGAGTTTTTAACTTGTGCAGGTATTGTGTTAATGCACTTCAAGTTAACCAGTTCTCTTATAAAAACTGAGACAGCCACTATTAGCCTATTTAAAAAGGGGAAACTGAGGCCCAGAGAGGTTAAATGATTTGTTCAAGGTCACATAGCTAGCAAATGACTGCCTTCACATCTCTCAATCTTAGCCATCTTGTTACACTGCATTTTAAAATGTAGCAAAGCCATTTTCTTGATCATTTGCATTCCATGAGGACCTTGTTTCGTTATAGTTGTTTTTACTCTTATTTTTTTGGAAACAGTTGGTGGACCAAATAAACTAATCCTTCCTCAAATATTACTGTTTCTGCTGTCTACTCCACCTTGAAAAAAACCTTAATTTAATTAAAATATATGTTTTTTTAAGTAGGTACTTTATTCACAGTGTGTTAAATGTAATACACAGTGCATTATATAATATTCACAGTGTGAATAATATAACTCTCCTTGATAATCTTATATTTTATATTACATCTCTTGAGCACAATTTAAACCAAGCAATAAAGAAAGATTTATATAAAACATTGAGGAGTTGAAGATGTTGATTCTGTCATAATTTCTTTCATTGTGAATGGGTACCATTTGTTAACTTGTCTAATAATTTTCCTATTGCTTCAGCAAAATCTGTCAGGTAACCATTAATGTCAAAAATTTATGGTAAATATTTATCAGGAAATGTTGCCTGGTATATGTTCAAGAACTGTAAGCTGTCTCAGTAGTTTTAGGATATGTGTGGGCACTATATGAATATTCTACATCTTTTTCTTTTTTTCTTTTATTATCAAGACCTAATTTTCCGTTGAATTTTCAATAATGAGAATGAATTTTTATGCTTACTGAGAAATTGCTCCTGCATATGATTCTCTTAAAGGTGGTTGAGTATTTTTCTTCTCTGGGGTTTTTTCTTCTTTTCTTTCCAGTTTTTCCTCGCTCTATTCCACGTAATATAAATACAGTTAATCATAAAGTTTACATCTCTAGAATACTTAATTCATCTATTTTTAGGCAGTACCCACTTGACAGTGCCAGTTTCTATTTCTCTTGGTTAATTCTTACAGCACATCCTTTACTGTTGCTTTTTTCCTTCAACAATCCTCTGACTTGACTCTAGTGTGAAGTAAGCATCTGACTGTGCATTTACCCTGCAAGTGAAAATAGACAAGGGAAGTATCTTGAATTTCATATTTCAGAAGCGCATCATGCATGTTTTAGCTTTCTTTCTTCCCGAGAGGATTAAATATTCATGGAAATTCCTACAAGAATGTAAGTCAGAGAAAGTATTTTTCTTGGGAAGGAGGGCTTAGTTCTGGTGAGGGGAAAGGGCAATTATTTGTTTTATAATCATTCTATAGCAGGTTTTCTTTACCTTGGCTATATTGGAATTTGGAGCCAGATAATTCTCTCTTGTCAGGGCTATCTTGTGCATTGTAAGATGTTTAACTGAATCCCTTGCTTCTACCTAATGGATGCCACTGGCATCCCTGAAATGGTGAAAACCAAAAATGTCTTCAAAAATTATCAAATGCACCCTGGGGGGCAAAATTGTTTCAGGTTGAGAGCCACTATTGTAAAAAATTGTGCTGTGCTTTTAGAAAGTAGAGGAGAGATTTTCTTTTTGAGTAATGGTTTTTGTGCCTAATTACCATTTTCATTTATGGTTATTAGCACATTGTGGGAAAAACAATTTTAAAATACCAACAAACATCAAAGATAAATATTATCTATATCCCTATCACTTCATTAACATTGTGTTTTCACTTGCCTATATTACCTTCCAGTTTTAGTCTATTTTCTTATTCATATCTTACACATTGCATTCACTTATTTTATAGAGTATTATAGTCTACATTTGCAATTAACAGACCATAAATAATTTTACAGTTTTATTAAAAAATACATACCACTACTACCACTGATGTAAACTATTGTGTGTTTTTCCATGTTCTATGAGCTTACAACATATGCAAACATATGAGCACATTGATAATTACATTTTAATTTATTATCTTTTTTTTGCAAAGAAAGGAGTCTTAGTAAATATGTTTTAGAGATTACTGGCCAAGATTTCTGCTATAGATTATTTGAAAATAAAGGAACCCATTATTTACTTAAGCAACAATAACAATAACATGCAAATTATATGCAAAATAAATAACTGAATTTAAATAGCATCTAAATGAAATCTATTTTTTAAGCTTTATATGACTCTAACTCATATTTATACAGCTATACTTTACTCTGTTTCCATCTTAATATTACTTAGTTTTTCCAAAATCAATTACATTTTTGGATGGCATAAAGATACTTTGAAACAGACTGTTAAAAGAGAACAAAGTAATTAGATATCTGTGAGTTTTAAAAGATACAAATGAAGGATTTATGTTGCTTCCTTTTGTGCATTTTATTTGAAAAATATATATTTTATTACACAAGGAGACAAATTGGTTTATAATATCTTGTCATGATTTATATAGAAAAATATAGGGGGTACATTTAGCCCATTGGCTCTTGCTGTTGTTCTCTTTGTTCACATTCTATCGGCATTCCTATTGCCAAGTTTCATTTTCTTGCTATACACTTTGGCATCTACTGCCCATTTACCTGCCAAGAGGTCTTAACCTAGAAGTAATTGTCTGGGCAATTGAAGATGAAATGACTTCTCTCCTAACACAAAGGCAACCATTAAATTAATGAAGTCTTTAAGGTGAATCGGCATGTGTCTTAGAAAAGCAATACATGAATAAGCCACAGAGAAAAACAGGAGATGTCCAGGTGCACAAATATATGGACAGTGTTTGCATGCATCCCCAGTACTTCTCACATGCCATTCAATTTAGAAGCTCAAGAAATATGGAATGAATTTGTTGGAGGAGTAGTTGAAGGACTGTCTTATCAGGAAACCAGGAAATATTTATCAACTGCTAACTTAATTGGCTCTACACCAATTAAGCTGTGTAGAAGAAAGATATGAGATAGTTCTTACACACAGGTATGGCTCTCTCTGGAATCTAGAAAGAATCATCTTAATTGCCCTATGGGGGAAGTGAAGAGTTGAGGGAGAGAAGAATGTCTTAGACAGTGGGACATGAGAGGGGTGTAACCCTCAGGTAGAGGACTCAAAATAAAATGTTGAGTATACATTTTTACAGTGATTCTCAAACTTTTCTGTGCAATAATCATCTGAGTCTAGTGTGAGTATTTATATTTTCTGGGCCTACACCAGAATCCGAGTCAGTAGGTCCGAGATGGCGTTCAGGTAGTCTCTGGGAGGATCGCTGTTTTAGGAATAGTAGTTTTATAGTGAAATTTGAAGCTAACATTATCATGTATAAAGTAATTGGACAGCAACTAACCAATCTCTAGTTGTAATATGGGCTTTTGTGACAATAATTGAAGTGGACTGACTGAGTGGGTAATACAGACACACGCATACATATACACACAGATATGCTACACGTATACATAGATATACACATATATACATACATATGAATGCTTATTTACCTAGGGTGTGTTACATACAAATTTGTGATGATTGAAACAAAAGTGTAAAAAATAATTCAAAATTTGACCACCCAAGCATTCATCCCTGTATGTGTCTCTAGTAATAGCTCATCACTGTTGAGCTCTTACCATGTGCTAAGTACCCTGCGTGAAGATGTATAGTAAGTTTTAGGTAACTTAAACCTCACATTAGCTTCATAACTTAAGGACTATTAAACTGTGCTCATTTTAAAGATGAGCAGACTAAAGTTTGAGTAGTGAACTTGTCCAAGGTCACATGCTGGTAAGCAGCGTTGTTGAGAATGGAGACTCAATAAATAAATATTTATTTATGTATTAATATGCAGTGTATGTTATCAAACATATCTGAAATAGAAATTTAAAGAGGATCTGATGAAATATAAGCAAGCTGTAATGTTTTCATCTCATATTCACCCTGACACCAGTTTTGAGGTTTTTTTTTTAATTTCTCATAGAAAAAATATAGTGATTAATAATGGAAGATTACAGTTGGTTTTGTTCTGCATATTAGTCTGCTACTGGGAGATATTGGATCATAGGTATGTAACATGGATCACTCAAAAGTGATTACTGTTTTCTATGAATATAGTCACATTTATTCCTACCTTGCAACCTCTAGAGTCTAAACCTCTGTAGAGTCTAAAGCATTAACATAGAAAAAAAATAATGTTTTGTAGAGTGTGTTTTTCATCCCTCTCAAGAGGGAGTGTTTGTTTTGAAATCAGTATTGAATTTTCTTGTTTCTTTGAACTACAAGTTAACTGAATTGACAAAGGGCTAAATAATTGAACAGCTGGCTTTTAAACAAGCATATAAAGATAATCTTTAAAAAATTGTCAGGTTTCTGTGAGGATATAGAATTTTCATCAACTGTAGATTTTTCCAGAAATACTTTTAACATTAATCATGAATGAAATGATTTGTGAATTATTTTAAAGAATGCCATAAACTAAGAAGCAGAGATGTTAAAAGAGTTTTAAATATGAGTGAGCAGGTGCCAATTTTTAGGTTGTAAAATCTAATCACCATTTCTGTGTGCCTTTCGTTGTTCAAGCCACCATACTCCAAAAAACACAATTTAGATACTTTTGTTTATTATTTTCCTTGACATACAGACAAAGAAACTTCAGGACTTATTCTGTAATTCATATTTGTGTTTCTTTTGCCAAATGAATATTTGAGTTAATAGACTGAAGATCTCTTGAAGTGTTCTTTGATCAGCTGGGTGCACCATTCCTCTTTCAAGCACCGTTAAGCCAGTGTGCTTCTGACGTGGGTAGGGCAGATCTGGGAGGCTGTGCACATTTGCATCTGGTGTATGCCTTGAGAGAATGCTCACAAGTGTTTACTTGAATCCTATTAGTATGCATGTGTAGCAAACCATTCTTTTTTAAACAGAATTCACTGAAAAATGGCACCTTTGTTATTTTAAAAGTCATAATATTTTAAGTCCTTGCCACATTTTCAGAGGAAAGAGCTGTAGAATTATAGACCACAAGAAAAAGCAAAGAATTTCTTTACATTTCCTTCAGATTTGGGGGAATGCTTTATCTTAGACTGCAATTTTGAGGCAAATTTCTCTTCTATAAGACATTGGAAGAGATATATTTTTTTCCAATTGCTTTGTAACACTACAGAGTAGGATTTCCTGGCAAATATATCCCTCTGGTTATTTAGAAAGATCAACTATCGTTTTAATATCATAATTGTACATTTCCTAAGAGACCATAAACCTCTTCCTGTCTATTTAATGGGCCAGCTTGAAAACCATGTTTTAAAATGGCTTTATCTTGTTATTTTACCACCAGCTCTGATAATTATCACCAGGTAGTCCAGTTAGATAGTAATTTGTCATTTAGTGGGACATTTTTAATTAGGCTGCTTTAGTCAAATATAGCATTTAGGAAAATGTTAGAAATATGTCCAGGTGTTAAAATTCCCAGATTTGGACAAAATACGTCTTAATTGTTCATGTTCTCCCTTAAAAAATAGTCACAATGCTGGAGCTCTGGGTTTCCTGTTTTGTTGTTGTTTTAGTGCATAGTGCACTCGAGGTGAGACTAAAACCCAATTCAATCAAACGCTACTTATGCTGTTGGACTTTAAGGAGATACAGAGACAGAGGGATCCAGAGAGGGAGATGGAGAGAGGGAAAGACATATGTGGTTACTATCCTTAAGGAATGTGTATTCAGTATTTGAGAAATAGCAGAAGGCCTATTTTACATTGTAGCTGTGTTCTGTTTGGTATAAAAGAATATTAAAAGTATGTAGTAAAGACTTACCATGTAAGAATGTGTTTATAATCAGGAATTGTTGTTTTGGATTTAAATAATACGGAATACAAATATCAAAATACATGTAAATTCTCTCTGTTCTTTTAACCATTTAATAGTTTAAAACCAAAATTTTAATTTAGAAGGGTCAATTGAAAATGAGATTTGAAAAAATTACATTAGAACTTTGACATACAATTGGGATATATTTGATTACGACTAGTAACACTACTAAAAATTATTACCATTTATTGAGAAACTTCTGTGAAATGAAATGTAACTTTAAAATAATTTCCTATTTCATTCTCAAAAGCTATGAAATAAGATTATCACATTTTACAAATGGAGAAATTGAAGGTTAGATTTTTGTGAAGCTAGAACCTGTGAGAACCAAGACAATACAAACCTCCTATGCTACAGCTAGAAAGTGCTGGAGCTGGGATTTGGGCCCGATTTTTCTCCTATCCCATTTATTTTGTGTTCTTCTGATGTTAAGGGAAAGAAAATGTGAAATTTTCAAATGGAATCGCCTCCAACATAGTCTCCCAGGTTGATTGTTAGTAGTCAGCATGCCAGCTTCCTAAATGACTTTTGGGAAACCCACATAAATCGAACAAATAGAACGTAAATAATAAAATCTGTACTATTGTAGAAGTACACAGTCTAAGTCATTTTGAAATTAAGTCAACTAGTAATTATCACTGTTGCAGCATCATTTAAATTTGTGTATACACTGAAAAATTATAATTGACTTTTTTCTTGGTTGTTGTAAATCATCTTTCATTACTGGAGAATCAATGCAATTCTTGCCCCAAAAATCCATTCTGAAAAAAAGTATATGCTAATCCTGAGAATTAAGAGCAAAATTATGTTTTGATTAAATTTTATAAGAGACTTTTAGATGCAGCCCTTCATGTCATACATGTTATTTTAATGAGGTGGCATACCTATCTCAGAATACTTAGTAAACTGATGTTAAACTTTGTGTGAAATAACAATTGTGTTGTATTTCAAGATCAATTCAAAGACTTTAGTTTGAATTCACTTGTGATTTTTAAGATCGGGAATAATCTGTTGTTCAAAAAAGTTTCTAATCTATTTTTTTCTGCTTTATCAAATATTCAACTGGATTAATAAAAATTAATAACAAAATCATTTTAGATGTACCATATGTATAATACTACATATATGCCTAATATTTAAAAATAATAACCAAGTTCTGTATTTCTTTGGAAAGCAAACAATCCTTAGGTTAAAAGATGTTATTACATTTTTTGATAAATTATTTCTGTAATTATTCTGAAAAGGTCAACATTTGTATCAAAGACAGGAGACTTGGCAGTCCTGGCATTGTCCTGAATTTGTCACTGATGATATTTAAACCTGTACAAATTTCTTAAATTCTAGAAAACTATTTCTATATTTAGAAATTATGAAAATTAAATGAAAGCCATTATGTTTACTTTGTAAAGCAGGTAAATTTCCTTGTTGCATAATTTTCTTAATATTCTGGCATATTTTTATCAGAATCATTTTTGTTACTTATTTATGTCCACTGTAGAAATCGGTAAACATAATAAACAATAATGAAAATGAAGATCTCAGTGTCATCACCCAGATACAACTACTGTTAGCAAAACGATCACAGTATCTTCAGACTTCATAGGAATTCACATGAATGCACATGAAATAAAATGTGTTATATATTGTGTTTCAAATATGATTTTTGCTCTTAATGTTTTGTGAACATCTCTTGATGTAATCTATAATTTTTATAACAGTTGCATAGAATTCCCTTGTGTGAATGCAGCATACTTGTTCAATCAGTCCTCTGTTCATGGACATTATGATCATTTGGGTTCTTTGGCTATTGTGAACTAAGTTATATTAAACACTCCTGTGTATTCATATTTGATGCATTTGTAAAATTATTTTCTTTGGTAAATTCTTAGGAGTTGGATTACTGGACCCCAGAACATGTATATTTTAGGCACTGATACTTGTTACAAAGCCACGGTTCCTTAAAAGTGTGCTAGTTTATATTCACACCACCTGTGTCACACCTCTCAGTCCTGGGCATTTCTGTCAGTATATACATTCTTTTCATCTTTGCTAATCTGTAAAATAGTTAATTTCCATGATTAACTAAATTTTATTGCCAGTTAACTATCTCAGACACTCTTCCGTGTTTATAGGCCATTTGTATTTCTTCTCCCTGAGTTGCCTTTTTATGTCATTTATTAATTTATTTTCTATTGGACAATTCATTTTTTTCTTATTGATTTGTTGTAACTTTTTATGTATTAAGGCTATTGAGCCTATATCACATATTGCAGACTTATTTCCTTGTATAATAACTTTGTGAATAATATATTTGATTGTCCAGAAGGTTTTTATTTATGCACACCAAAATAGGGTTATTTCTTACTTTATGATTTTTGATCCTGGTTTTCAGACTTTGAAAACTCCACACCAATATTTTTAAAAAATAAATATTCAGATATTATTCCAGTATTTTATGAAAATTTTCATATAAAATTTGAGTTCATTTGAAATATATTTTGGGGTAAGTTCTGAAGCAGAAATACTGATAGGTAGACAGGTAGGTAGATTGATTGACAGATAGTTGTAATAATAAAATTTACTGAAATAATCTGTCCTTTCACTACTAATTTGAAATGTTCTTTACCACATAGGAAATCCTTCTTGTCCTTAGGTCTGTGTTTCTACCCTGTAATTTGCTTCATTAATATTTCTCCCTATTTTTGTGCCAACACTATGTGGTTTTAATTACTCTAACGTTAAATGTAAGACAGATATCTTATTATGTTTCTACTTAATTATACTTGGCCATTATGAAATAGTTATGCTTCCATACAATCTTTAAGTTTTGGCAATTTAAAAATGCTACCCCTATTTTTGTTGTAATTGCTTTAAAATTTATTGAGGAATACAGAAGGAAATTTACTTCTCAACGGGATTGGTTCTTTCTATTGAAGGACACGGTATGTTTCCTGTTTTATACATGTTCTGTTATGTTCTTCGGTAAAATTTTAGTTTTCTCCATGTAGGTCTTGCATATTTCTTACTAAATTGTGCCCATACGTCTTACATAATTCTTGTTAAATTTATACTTCAGTACTTTATAGTTTTTATGGTTATTGTCAATGGGATTCTTATATTCAATTACTATTTTTGATTCTTGGCCAAATGAACAAAGATTATATAACTATCAGAAGATGGTTGTCTTTTAACTTTACAACTTAGGCTAGCATTTCCATTTCAATGTATGCATGAGGTGCTTTGGATGTCTTATAGAAATAAAAAAAAAAAACTTCTTTGAATGTAGTAAGCCAAATCATCAGCACATGCTGTGTCTAAACTCTGTTGTCCCTTAATTGAAATATAAATGATATCATTACAAATAAGAGATCTTCCATAATAAGAGCATCTACACTCAGAATAAAACAGCTTAACTGACACAATGTGTGTGATAGTGCCTCATACACCTGTTTTAGAGTGATAACTTGTCTCCATTCAATACTAAACCAGGACATGACTTACATTCAGAGGCTTGATCACCTAAAGACTGAGGGTCACAAAAGCTCTCCCACTATGGTAGTCTAAGTTCACAATTGGTTTGACCATTTTGAACACATTGAATTGCCAGTCTACTTTACCGAACAATTTTTATTATCATGTTGATCCACTCAGCTAAGAATGGTTTAGTTGTGCATGAAGTTCAAGATTTCCAGAAATTATCTCAAAATATGTTATGTCTTTTGGAATACATATACCATATACATTTTAGAAGATTTAGAAAGTCTTTCATTGAATTGTAACTCCTGTGTTGGTTATATCAAATGTACCTTTGAGAAGAAGGCAAAAGCTCAGAAATTGTAGGAGAAAAGAATTTATATCAACTAGGCCAGCCTTATCAACAGCATGCAATATTTCGTTGTCATACATGTAGATATGTGCATGTGTACACTCACCTCTACACACATATATATATAAATTTGGGTATGAAATTTTTATTTTTTCTGTTTAAATAAGAACTTATCACCCCCAGGTTGATTTATTTAATACTGGGAAACTTAAGTTAGATGCATTAGTTGGATGGGATATAAGGTAAAATAAATAACAATGCCACTTGTGTCAGTTTGAAAGAATTATGTCCTTGGATAAGAAAAAGTGCTTCTTATAATTCAATCTAGGCAAATTAAAACAAAGCTGGTATCCCATGCTATTATGCATTATTTTACTAAATATACATTTCAAATGTGAAATGAAATATCTATACTAGATGGTTGTTTTCATATTAAAGTATATAATGCACTACATTTCTATAATTTCAGGCTTCTGATTTGATGTATCAAGAGAAGTGTGGTCTTTTGACAATTGTGTATTAGTTCTGTATATTTTTGTAAAAAATACAGAGAAAATACTTTCGTAAATAGAATGCTTACTAAATTACAATTGAAAGACCTTTTTTACTCTTAATGGTCTATATATTTATTTTCCAATCTAAAAATTATTAAATTTTTATCTTCAAAGATATACATTGGAATATTTTATTTGTTAAACTGGAATTCAGGGAACAATGATCTTGATGATCATGCTTATCTCTATTTAACTCGTGTTGGCCAAAACATTATTGATGTTTTAGATCAGGGGTCAGCCAGATCTGACCAGGTGACTGTTTTGATGAATAAATTTTTATTAGGGCACACTTGTATCCATTAGGTTACACACTGTCTATGCTTGCTTTTGCACTCCCAACACAGAATTGAGTAGCTAGAAGAGAGACTATATGGCTTGCAAAGTCCAAAATACTGCCTGGTTGGTACAGAAATTTTTGTTCTGATTCTGAGCATTAACTACAACATAAAATAGAAAGTACTTTGTATATAAACAAGAAATGAAAGCCATAGCCTATTTAATTGTATATTATTACTTATTTTTCATGCTTATATATTTGCTAAGACTTTACTCGAATGAGCTATGGTTCAAATTAAATAAGAATTGTGTTGAAAGTGTGAGATTTCATAGCTAAATACATTTTATGGAAAAAATCATGTTATGGAAAGTGTAAGAAGCAAAATATCTTTAGTAGTAAAATTGAAAGAATTACAGAAAATAATATGAGGGTCTCTGCCTCATATTAATGAGTCTGAGGTTTGCATTAAAAACAGATCATGTTGTATTCTATTCTATTAATCTATTTTAAAGAATTTTTTTCAGTGTTAATAAAGATTCTCACTAGGATTGCGTTAAAACTTGGCTTTCTTGATCTGATTGGCTAAATCAGTTCATTGCTAACTTTTCTGCTTTTCTTACATCTGAGGTATTATGGTGTATTTGCTGTTTGCTAACTGTTAAGTCACAACAATGGAATCTCACTTTATGTACAATCTGGTGCTCCTGCTCAGGTCTGCTCTTTGGTTTAATTTTTACTCTTAGCCATAATTTCAGGATACAAACTCCAGAAATTGATGTTGTCTGTCTATAGATATCAAGTTGCGTCTGCTTGCCAGCAAATAAGAATCATTGTTTAAAGAGTTCTACATATTTTACTGTCACATTTCTACTATAAAATGAGGAGAGTGATTGTAGCTTATGTTCAAGTTTGCTTTGTAGTAAATTATGAAGTTTTATGGCCAAATACCATATGGATACTTTTGAGAACATTAATGTTTACATTAATGTAAGAAGGAGAATTAATACAATATTTTCTACTCTTGGTTCTTAAAAGTTTCATTCTACTGAAGAAATAATCTCAGATCCCATTAGACTGTGCTTCATGAAGTCAGGGCCATGTCTGTTTTTCTGACTATTCTAACCAAGTCATGTCTAACTCAAAAGGAATCTGACTAGTGGTGGTTAGATAAGAAACTACTGAAATTGATGTCAGAATAACCTCCAATCCCTTTTATTAGTTTTTCTTGCTACTAAGAAGTTATAGAACAACAAAATTATTGTTTCCTTCAGAAATTGAAATTCTTGCTTCCATTCGACTTTCAGTATCTACTCAGAATATTTCCTTTGATTTTTGGAATTTTCTCTGGAAGCTTTTATACTGCAGGATCATAGTAGTCCTACAGTATATATATAAGATCCTGTGTAGCAATGGAGGTGACAATAGAATATTCAGAACTCTTCAAAGTGTAGTTCTTATTTGTTGGTCACCAGATGCAACTTGACATCGTTATGCAGACAACATTCATTTCCAAAATTTGTACACTGAAATTATGGCTAGGGTTAAAAACTGAACCAAAGAACAGAGCCAAGCAGGAGTACCAGATTGTACATAAATGAGGTTTAATTGTTGTAACTTAACCTCAACTTAACCTTAACTTTCTTACATCTGAAATTGTTGTAATTTCAGATGTAAGAAAAGCAGGAAAGTCAGCAATGAACTAATGTGGCCTGTCAGAGTCCAATTTTAACTACAATTCTTGAATGTCTTTTAATATTGAATGTCTTTGAAATTGGTTGAAATGTATTTAAAGAACAAATGTAACACAGTCGGATTTTTAGCTTGATTAGAATTAAATGCATTTGGTTGTTACTTCTCCAACTGGTAGAAATGCAGGAATTTTTTCTTAAAACTAATAAAGGTAGGATTACTTGTGAAAGTTTGTAGGATGCATGTATTTTCACTTGATGTGTTTATAAACATTGGTAGCAGTTCATAGTAGTTAAAGACCTGGGTTAAGGAATCTTGGCTCTGCCACTTACTAGCTATGTTATATGGTCCAAATTACTTAATTTATTAAATCATAACTTTTCTCCTCCATATGAATAATTTGGGTATGAATATAAATAATAATAGTATCAAGCTCAAAAGATTCCAAAAATTAAATGATTTACTATATGTATAAGGCTTATTAAAATTATCTGCACATACTAAAACTCAATAAATTATATCTATTAATAATATTACACACACACACACATACACAAATTTAATTTTACATGATGTCACAAAACCTCCGAAACACTCATGACCTGTGTTTATACATAATTAACACCAAGTCAATAATGATAATATCCGGAAAAACACATTAAAATTTAATGGTCAAAACAGCTGTATGTTAAAGGAGAATCCTAGGACACTGGGCTACGATTCAGGACACCCAGATTTTAAACCTGATACACCTACTCACTCATGAGTGACCTTGAGTATGTCTCTTTTCGTTGTTGTTTTTCTGGAACTTAGTTCCATTTCTGTGGGGAGAAGAAAGGAAGGGGTTGATATATCCTTTTAGTCTTGAAATCCTCAAAATCTTTGAGTTACAAAAAGAAAAAAAAACACTAGATCTTTATTTTAAAATTTGCAACCAAAGTTGGAAAGAAGTAGAAAAAAACAAGCATTGCTTATTAGGCTAGAAAAAGAGCTGACAAGCAGTGGTTGTGTTGTTTATCAGAAAGTTTGCTTTTTTCCGACAGAGTAGTTTGCAATTGTTTTTCAGAATAAGTGCATTGCTAACTCTGTAGTGCTTTAGAGGTATAATCCTCCCAAGGTATCGTGCCTGCAGGAGTCTGCAGTAGTGTTGTTGGATGCTGTATTTTTTATATGGTAATGTCAGTTCACAAGGCTGAGAAGAATTTTATTGAAAAGCTAAATGCAAAACTGGATACTCTTTCCAGAGGTAGTTTTATTTCTGAATCAAATGTGTCTAATCTCAAATGTGTGATAACACCTAGGGGCCTATTAAATGTACATGAGGCTATCAAGAGCTTTATCTTCAAATGACAAAGATCCAAGATTCATATACAGAAAATGACACCCTTCTTACTGAAAATAGCATAGGATTGCACGTAGGGAAATGCAGATGTCCTACTAACTTTATAACTTCTATTTGACTTCTGTGATAGAGGAAAAATTAAGGAACTGGTTGTGCAGCTTAGTAATGCTAGAAAGGCAACTCAATCTTCTCTGATTCATTTGGAAATATTTGTCAAGGTCTTTCTCAGAGTATTAAAAAATTGTAAAATAAAATACAAAGATTCAGAACACATGGCCCATTCTACCTTCAAAGTTTGGTTTACCTGCTTTGTTGAGGCAGAGATTTATGACTTTGACATTACAAACTTGTTCAGGTATCAACCTCCATAAGTTGGTTTAGATATGGTCTTTTACCATGCATTAAGAGCTATCACATTCTGAACTTTACTCTGTTTTACCAGTGGCGTTTCCTGATTGAGTATAAATATGTACAACAATGATAATACCAACACTAACATTTTTACCACATTCTGGGACTTTAAAAGTGATGATCCACTTCGTTTGATTTTGATTAATATGATCCACATCATTTGATTTTCCCACCGTTTCTGTGAGGTGAACATAACAAGTGTTTGTGTTTCTTCTTTCTTTCCTCATCCTTTCCTTTCTTCATTACTTCCTTTCCTACTGCTCTCCTTCCTTCTTTGCTTTCTTTTTTTTCGAAAATAAACTCCAGAAATTTAAGCATCTGGTTATCACCTAAAGTTATATGGTTCGTAAATAGAATTTCAACTAGAATTCTGATTCTACAGACTCACATTCACTGCTCTACTTACTGATTCAGGAAGCAAGTTATTGGAAGTATAATCAAGGTAACAAAAAATAAAGATAGGAATAAAGAGTGGTGGAGGTTTTAGTGATTATGGGTAAGGTACTTGGGGCAAACACCAAATATATTCCTTCAAAGAGCCAATAAACCTAATAGTAAATCCTAAAGGGGCAGCTAGGACTTGCCAAGCACCATTTCATTTTAATGCATTGGGTAACCTCAGAAAAGCAGTAAAACAAGTAGTCCTCCAGCTTGCCCGTCCATAGGAAATTGTCTTAGTCTAAAGAATTGACACATTCAATTAAGTGTTGTAAATCATGGATGTTCTCAGTCACAGGCAACAAGACATAGACCTCCTTCAGACAGCATAAAAATCAATAAGTATTATTTTATCCCTGTTTTGTGAGTCAATGTATTGCAGCAACTATTGATTGTTGGCAAGATGTATTGATCATTAGGGTCTAATATGGCAAGCTGTGATGAGGAGTTTGGCAGTGCTTTTTTCATTCATTTCACTAAGGTAAATATCCTTTGTCCATAGTCCTGGAGCCCACACCAAAACAACAGAATTTCTTTTCTGGGATTAGCTACAGTACCAGCTAGCATAGGGTATATGCATTTTTGTGAACCAGTTTCACAGCACTGAAGGGTCTGAACCCAGAGAGCTGGCATTTATAACATAAACGCTTGCGAATTTAGGCAAGTTACTTAATCTCTGAGCCCCAATCTCTTCAACTGTAAAATGAGGTAAATAAATCTCTTGAAGTTGGGTGAAGATGAAGTATGATACTTTTATCATATAGTATATCCATATTATCATATAGGATGAAATAGTGGGCAGCCAGTAACTGAATATTAAGAAATTGAACAGACTAAAATAAAAAATAGGATCATTTTATTTTGTAACTACATGGTTTCATGAAGATTTGTTCTTTGTTAAATTAAAGCATACAAATACAAATTAGCAAAGCAAAAAACATTTTACATTTCACCAAGTTCAAATCCCTCTATTTTATGATGGAAGAACTGAGTATCAGTTAGGTGAGTGTTCAAGGTTGTAGATGACACAAGTAATCTGACATCCAGCTGTTGTTATAAGCTACAGCGCTTAACCTACTACCAGGGGCAGGTGCAGACATACTTCCTAATTATACAACTCACATAATCTCATGGCCAGCTGGAAGGTGTGGTTATATTTTTTAAGGTTGCTCTGAACTTTTTCTCCTATCTTTAATGTCCTTATATTTCACTTGGTATTAAATTATCCTAAAAGCAAGTAGCTATGGCCCATTTTATGCTCCATTTTCATGCAAAATCTAATATAGTATCAACATTGGATAAGGAGGAAAAACCAACATTGGAAAAAAGAACTATAAAAAGAAAATATGATCATGATGTTAGATATGTAATTTAAAATATCAAATATAGTTTATTCCTCTTTGACCTTGCTTGGCTTGTTGAAATGATTTCTTAGACTTACATTTTACATCACAAGTTTCACAGATTAAAAAACAAACTGCAGAATGACTTGTAAAATTTCATCTTTCCTCACCTTGATCATTTAAAATCAAATTTGTTGTCTTCTTAAATTGGGATGGTATCGATTCTTTTTAGTTTCCTACAAAAATGTGAAAGATTTTTCTGAATTTAGTCCCATTCCTTTAATTTTCATTTTTTAGTAATTATAAACCATTTATTGATAGTTTTTATGCTTTAATTAATCCTCAATTTTTGATGAGATTTACAAGTAACAAGGTTCTTTAATGAATTTCTCTAATATGAAAATATTAAATAACTGTTACATCCTAGAGGGTTCAATGTGAGGCTTCATTGATTTTTGCCTTCATTGGAAGATCATGTGGCCACCTTTAGTGGTAGAATGATTGTCAGAAGAGCAGGCACCTAGAGGAGAGCTTCATAAAGCCTTCTTCGTAAAGTCATGGGTGTGTATCTGGGAAATATATTCTTCTTTAAACAAGGGGTAATGCCTTAATGTAGGCCCAACATAATTACTGTAATGCCAAGCAAAGTAGTTTTCAATTGCAAGATAATTGAGATGAACATAATGAAAAGCTGTGAGTCTATATGTGTGCATGGATCAATTTCTATTCACTTGCCAAAATATTATCAGTTCAGTTGTGGCTTACAGTCTCCAAAAGAGACCCTGTGACCTGCCTATTCATCTCTTTTCTAGTTTGCGCTAAAGGGCATAGTGGTTTTCAAAATAGTGACATGAAACTTAACCTTTCTTTACAGCCTCTGAAATGGCCATCTCAACATGTTCATTACCACTTCATAAACTCTGCCCTGAAGCTACTTACTGTTCTTTGTTAACCTTATAGAGCTCAAAAGGTGGTCGTTGTGAGGTTGGTGCCTAAGAAACCATCACTACTGCTGTCTACAGTGATTTGTTTTAAAAGCTAATAAATTCCACTTTTAA